>NW_021160011.1:0-65394 GCF_000001405.40 Homo sapiens | reverse complement strand
ATTCTTACAAGGAAAAGGGAGACAGTGGGTATATGTTGGAAAGTGTGATTTTTACGCTGCTCAGAAGAGCAGAGTGATTTTTTGTAGAACACTCATAAAGTACTGAAAAATGCAAAAGGGAAAATAAAATTCATGGTAACCTAAATTAACAAGTAGGCATAAAATCTTATGGTCTTTTTTCAATGCACTATGTACTTTTTAAAACATTTTTTTCTTAAATTAGGACCACAATGCTTTATAGTAATTTTTTCACTGAAATCTTGCAATTTGTTAAAAACCTGAAAGGTTATATGTTCACGGTCGTTTGCCCGAGAGACAGGAGCGATGGCGACAGATCCCGGGTCTCTGTCGGGAAGTCGAGGTGAGAAACGGCAAACCCACGCTGGGAGCAAGTGGGCAAGAGGAAGGCAGGCACCTCCCGTGGGTGAAACTCCGTTCTGGTTGATTCGTTTTAGAAAGGTAGGTAAACTTTTTAAAAATGGACACAAAATTTAAAAATATATGCAATTCCACATTTTGGAAGTTAATGAAACAGCTATTGTGGAATTACACAAAATAATCATATTGATGATAATAACACCATCTATGGATTGGGCTGTGTGTCGATTTTCAGAGCAGCCTAACTTCCTTATCTCATTTGATCATGACCAGAGGCTCCAGGTCACCCTCACCAGCCTCCATGTAACACCTGCCAATGCAGCCAAATGCTAGGTGCCTTCAACTCACACAATTCCCGCTTCAGCCTTTCCTGCTTTTCCTTAGGCTCCCATTCCAATCTTTTGACTGTTTAAATGTATTTTAAGAGCAATACAATTTCTAAAACTAAATTTTATGGGACTAAGTATTTGAGAAAATTATCAGACAAACGCTGTCCTTCTCAAAGGATTTTGTTGTGCGATTTTTCTTAATTAAATGCACTGCATGCATATAATATTATGCTCAAAATAGTTAACCAGATGACTCAGCGTCTGCTTCGACCCACAGGTAGAACCTTCCGTGGGGCTCCTGTCCCAGCCTCCTGTGGGCGTCCGTCTGTCAGGAACCCTGTGACTGGATTCTGGTTCTTAAAGCTGGAAGCTCTGCTCGGTTCCTTGGCATGAAGAGTGGGGGCCCAGCAAGACCCACTGGGCTAACTGACCTTGTCAAGTCAATCGGTAACATGCTGACTTGTTAATTACTATGCGAAGAGTTAGACACATCTCCTCTGAAACCACGTAAATCCTCCTACAAACCATTTTCAACCTAACTTTGCTATGTTTACCCCTCTTTCCTGAGTCTAACTTCC
Organism: Homo sapiens; assembly: GCF_000001405.40. NCBI lineage: Eukaryota > Metazoa > Chordata > Mammalia > Primates > Hominidae > Homo > Homo sapiens. Next base: position 64,109 of record NW_021160011.1, on the reverse strand, counting down.
CCCCCATCTGCTACAAAATAAAAAGCAGAAGGTATGAGCCACCCTTTTATCAGCATTCCTATCACAGATTCCTAGATTATACAAGTCTAGAAAGACAGTAGAACTTACATGGGGCACTGGGAGCAATGGTTGCAAATCATCTCATTCAATTACACAATGGTGATATTTTGACTCCAGATATAATAGAGATAACAAAAAGAAGACTCCCAACCTTAAACACATTCTATAAATACATGACACAGCATAAAAATGAGAAAAAAAATAAACTCAAGAAAAGAAGGTGGGATATCTTTATAATTAGCATAAGAGATAATTATAAGGTCAGATTTTCAAGAGAAAGGGGCTTTCACTTAGGAGAAAGATAATTAAAATCACCTGAATAATTTCCTTGATTTTTTTTTTTTTCCTGTCCCGGAAATACTGTTATTACACGCACTGTGAAAATTAAAGTGCTCCTAAGTGCCCCAACTATTAATTAAAATATCTACCAATAGGTTTCTATTGCAGAGGCAGCTTACAGGGACTGGACCCAAACCATTCTGGGTCTGTCCAGACCCATTGTGTGGTCTTGGGCGGCCATTTAATCTCCCTGAGCCTGGGAGAAGAGAACCCTATGAGAGCCAAGAGCTCTGTCTCTTGTTTGTCGCCGGTTCCCGGGGCTCAGATGAGGACATAGACACATCTCCTGGTACGGAATGAATGAAGGCACTTCAGTCTCCTGACCTGTAGGATGGAAATCATGAGAACCACCTGCTCACCCACCTCTTGAGATTGTGATAAGCGTCCAGTGAGACACGATACGTGGGCTCTCATATAGGTTTTTGTAAATGGAATGCATATGCTAATCATCAGGGTGGTGTGAACTTTAAGACGGCGTAGCGGCTATTCTTAACCAGCATTTCTCCCACTGGAGTTGCAAGGAGGAGTTCTGAGATGTGAAGCTGAAGGGGCCAACAGCTACCTCTCTGCTATCAAGTGCGCTGATTTTTCTAATTCTAGTCTTCCCCAGGTGCAGCCCATCTAGGATATCTCAGAATATCACCTTGTCACTCCCCACCAGCCCCCACTTCTCCCATCCCACCTGCTCTCCCCTTCCTGGCTCCTTCCCCAGCCTTAGCTGGAGGAGCTGAACCACATGAGCCTGTGCCCACGCCAGGTCCTACCTGGAAGACACGCGAGGCTGGAGGTCAGGTTCTTCCTGCCCCTCAGACCCATTTCCTCTACTCCACAGAGCCAGGAAGGGGAATGTCACAAAGCATGGGAGGTGGCACTGCTTGGAAGGGTTCTAAGATCCGGCCTTCCTGCCAGCCGGACCTGGAACGCCCAAAAAGAAGAGTGAGTTCCATTTAATCATGTGGGGACACCAGTCATGGTGTCCAAGTAACAATCCCAGGTAAAACTGTAATCACTCAGCCGTCAATTCCTCTTTCGTCCTGATTTTACACATGCCCAGGGTAGTGAACAAAGAAGGGCAAAGCAGAAAAACCCATAATCCTACCCCCAGGTACCCCAAAGCAGAAAGACTATGGTCCACCCCCAGATACCCCAAAGCAGAAAAACCCACAATCTACCTCCAGACACACCAAAGCAGAAAGACCATAACCCACCCCCAGACACACCAAAGCAGAAAGACCATAATCCACCCCCAGGCACACCAAAGCAGAAAGACCATAATCCACCCCCAGATACCCCAAAGCAGAAAGACCATAACCCACCCCCGATACCCCAAAGCAGAAAGACCATAATCCACCCCCAGACACACCAAAGCAGAAAGACCATAATCCACCCCCAGATACCCCAAAGCAGAAAGACCATAATCCACCCCCAGATACCCCAAAGCAGAAAGACCATAACCCACCCCCAGATACCCCAAAGCAGAAAGACCATAATCCACCCCGACACACCAAAGCAGAAAGACCATAATCCAACCCCAGACACACCAATGCTTTATACATTTTAGTAAAAGACCAGCTCCAAACAAAAAGACCCATAATCCTACCCAGATACACCAATGTTTCATATACTAAAAAGACCAGCTCCAAGTATTGTTTTAAGGTTTAAAGTTCTTTGTCAGAAGAAAATCTAAGTCAGATGCTATTTTTAAACATTAAGGCATTCTAATAATGATAAAACTAGTTAATAAATAATAATAATAGTTATCATTATTAAACACCAATAGACTAATCCACATTAATACATTTGACCATAGAGCATTTTGCTTTAGATTGGAAGGCATATAGTGGTTTCTTTTAGAAAGAAGCCAAATTATTTGATTATTTTAAGTAACAGTAATTCGTCCGGTTCCGAACGATGCCGCAGTAAAAGGGTTGTGAGGTTAATCCCCAGAAGTTTGTGTTGGATTATTTCTGAGGGAGCGGCAGAGCCCCCTAGACACCACTCCATCCCTCCCTCCAGCCGTCAGGGCTTCACTTTCTAGGGAACTCTGTTTCTCTTTTGTTCTGAAATCTGCCCAGCCCTCTCCCCCTCAGGAAGACACCCGGCATCCTTCCAGTCCTGGCCACTTCCCGGCAGAGCCCCCGAGCCCGGCTTGCGAACTGGTGAACACGCAACAGGTTTCCTGTTTTCCCAGCCTTTGCCTGGCTCCGAGGCTGCAGCGGGCTTGGTCTGGGAAGTGGAAGAATTGGAGATTCCGTGAACACACCGGGGAGAAACACGAGAGAGGGGCGAGCCGAAACCAAGCAACACTGTCCAGTTCTGTGAGCGCCTCTGCACGTTCAAACAGGAAAAGGCTACCTCGCTCTTCCAAACGAAGTTTTCCCGGAAAATGGTGTAGGTTGGAATAAACGGAAGAGATGGGGAAGGAGCGCACTTTGGGGCGCCTGTTCCTCATAATAAAACGTAACAGGGAGAGAGAGGCCAAGAGGAACGGACACAGAGTCAGAGAAAGGCAAAGACTGAGGAGGCAGAGACAGAAAGAGCGAGAGAGACAGAGACAGAGACAGAGAGAGAGACAGGGAGAGAGAATGAATGAACGAACCGGTAGGACGAACGCCCGACCCCAGTGCGAAATGCAAAGTGTTCCAAAGACAGAGCTCGAAGGAGGCGGAGGGACCAGACCCCGTGCCGCGTCTCCGCGCAGGTTCCGCCCGGGCCGGCCGGGGACCTGTAGTCCCAGCCCCGGGGTCCCCACGCTCCCCCGCAGGAGCCGAGACGAGCCCCCAGCCCCGCGCTCACCTGCGGGGTCCAGCAGGCCCAGGGGCCCGGGCACCGGCGGCTGCATCCCGAGGCCCCACCCGGCTCTCCCGGGGCCACAGCCACAGTCCCGCCGCCAGGAGCCGCCCTCGCGGCGCCGCCCCTTCCCCGCCCCCTGCACCTCCCCGCGCTCCGCCCGCCTCGCGTCCTTCCTCGCTCTACTCTCCCTTCTCCGGCGTTTCTTCTCCTCCCTCCCCCGCTGCGCCCGCTCCCCCTTCTCCCCTCCAGCGGCCGCCTGGTTTCTGGAAATCAGGACGCCGCGGCCGGGAGTGGAAGCCAGACCCCAGATGGAAGGTGCCTGGAGAGGACCCTGCGGACTCGGGGTCGGAGCCCCGGCCTGGGACGGTGACCCCGGGCCTTCCGCCGCTGGCGCCACGCTCAGCCCTTGGCGGTGCCGCTGAGTGGGTCACCACGGGTTCGCCTCCCCATTGGCCGGTGACGGAGCTCCTTGGGGCTACAGGGCCAGCCAGCCCTTGATCTCTGGGTTCAGAGGGTGGTACATGGTGTTACAACCCAGTCTGCGAGGAACGAGTAAATGAGGAACAAACGCAAATGAGTAAATGAGGAACAAACGCATCTGGCACCTCACTCAGCAGCCCCGAGGCAGGGCTGACCCGCCTCTCCAAGGCCTGCGTCTTTGTGTCCACAGCACTGAAGTTGTTCTGAGTAAAATCTGCTGCTGGAAAGAAGGGCAAGGAAACACGGGGCCAGAAAGGGTGCCTCGTACAGCAGCAGGAAAAAATAAAGATCCTTCTAAACGTATTTTTAACATCTTTGAGTCAAGGACATCAGCGGTCCCGTCACAAAAGAAGATGCTTGAACGATCAATAAACTCAGCCCCCGGAATTAGGGGAACGCTGTGGGAACAAGAGGATGCGTTTCACCCTCATCCTATCAGAAAACCCCAAGGGTCAAACAACTTAAAGAATGTTAATGAAAACGTGGGAATCTGCATTCACCGCTGGGATCACGCATGGTGCCACCACTTTGAAAGCAACCTTTAGGAAAATTGAAGCAAGTAGATGACAAGCCAGAAAGAAAGCATATCTCTTTCTAGATATGCCCAAGAACACAAACATAGATCTGCTCCTTCGAGCCAGGAGCCGTGGTTCTCAACCCCGGCTGTCGTTAAAGTCATCCAGGAATGTCTTTAAAAGAAAAAACATTTCTGCAGCACTGAACCCAGACCAGATCAATTGAACCAGAACTTCTGGGAACAAACTAATAGCTAAGAATTCCCTAGTCATTCTAATAGGCCATCCACTGTGAGAGAGAAACTACCACAAGAAGTATGCATGTGCTAGAAGATGCGTACAGAATATTCCTCACAACACTGTGTGTCCAAAGCACCGGACACACCCTGAATATCCAACACGGGGAGAAGCGATAAAGAAATGGGCATATACAGCGAAATACCACATGGCAGTTAAAATAAATGAGAGCTACATGGATCAATGTGGATAAATGCCAAAAACAGAACGCGGAGCAAAAATGCAAGTGCACAGTACGGCAGCGAGTACGACAGCAAGTACGGCAGCGAGTATGGTACCATTTATATAAAGTTTTAAACCATGAAAATTAACACTGTTCACTCAGTGAGCCTCTCAAGACTTACTAAACATCCGCGATATACCAGACACTGTTCCAGGTACTTGGGATGTATCAATGAGCAACGTAAACAAGGATCCTGGTGGGGAAGTGAGGCCATGAATAATAATACAATAAACAAGAAAAATGCACAGCATGTCAGAGGGCAACATGCTATGGAATACACACACACATATACACATACACACATGCAGACATACACACATGCATGCACATACACACATACACACACATGCATATATACACATGCATACATACACACATGCATGCATGTGTGCATACATACATGCACGCATACATACATGCACATACACACATGCATACATGTGTGCATACATACACGCACACATACATACACATACATACACACATGCATACATACACACTTATACGTGCATACATGCACATATGCACATATACATACACACATGCATGCATACACACATGCACACACATACACATGCACACATACATGCACACACATGCACATACACACACATACACACTTATACATACACACACATACACACATACATACATACACAGCCAGGTAATGCAGGCCACAGAAAAAGGAAAGAGAGGTAAAGAAACAAAATAGAAAGTATAGTGTGGGAGAGGGAGGGAGCTGTGGTTTTTAAGTAGTGAAAAGAGAGCTTGTTGACAGGTGATGTTGAAGACCAAGCTTGAGGGCGTGGAGGTGGTTGCTCACCCAGACATCTGGGGCAGAGGGTCTGAGGAAAAGGAACCTCCATGCAAAGGCCCTGGGGTGGAGCCATCCAGGCCCAGGGGGAGCAGCAAGGAGACCAGGGTGCCAGAGGCTTGTGGGGACCAGGTGGAGGACATCAGGGGTGAGCCGCAGGGCCTCTGGCCTTTGCTCCGAGTGATGTGGGGGTTATTGGAGGGTCCTACACATAGGATTACTGGAGAGTAGTTGTAGGATAGCAGAATGGAAGCTGAGAAACTGGTTATAGGATATGATGAAACAGTAGGAGGTGATTACACGGACACCATGAGTCATGTTTGCAGATACACGGACACCGTGAGTCCTGTGTGCAGATACACGGACACCGTGAGTCCTGTGTGCAGATACACGGACACGTTGAGTCATGTGTGCAGATACACGGACGTGAGTCTCGTGTGCAGATACATGGACACCGTCTCGTGTGTGCAGATACATGGACACCGTGACTCATGTGTGCAGATACACGGACGTGAGTCTCGTGTGCAGATACATGGACACCGCCTTGTGTGTGCAGATACATGGACACCATGAGTCATGTGTGTGCAGATACATGGACACCGTGAGTCATGTGTGTAGATGCATGGATACTGTGTAAGTAAAGTAGAAGAACATGCTGGGGGAGAGTGCATGCTTCATCCAGAACTGTGATTCTCTGTCTGGGTGGACAAGCTGAACAGCTTTGGAACTATGTCTAGGGGCTTAAACTCTATTTGTGAAATCTTCTTTCTTTAAAAAAGTTAAAAGACTTGTAAAAAAAGGGGGAATGTTGAGATACCATTAAGGCTAGATGGTGTGGACAGGGATGTTATATTATTCTCTATACTTTTCTGGATGTTTAAAATAGATGATTACTTTTTTGTAACTTTTTATTTTTATCTATTTTCAAACCTAAAGGTGGTTTGCAGGGATAGTGCAAGGAGCTCCTGTGCATCCTCTACCCAGGTGTGCCTTTGTTTGCAGTCTGTCACTTTTTTGTTTTTTGAGACATGCTGTGGCTCTGTGGCCCAGGCTGGAGTGCAGTGGCATGATCATAGCTTACTGCAGTCTCCACCTCCCAGGCTCAAGCGATCCTCTCACCTCAGCCTCCCAAGTAGCTAGGACCACAGGCGTGTGCTGCAACACCCAGCTAAGGTTTATACTTTTTGTAGAGATGGGGTTTCCTCATGTTGCCCAGGCTGATGTCAAACCCCTGGGCTCAAGTGATCCTCCCATCTGGGCCTCCCAAAGTGCTGGGATTACAGACGAGAGCTACTGTGCCCGGCCACAGTCTGTTATATTTTAAAAATTAAATGGACGAAAGGAAAAGAAAAGGAGGAAAAAGGGCGCCTGCTTGGCTCTGCAGGCCGAGTCCCACCCTAAGCCGCCAGGGTGCCCAACCTCTTCCACCACTGAGAGCAGCCCAGGGATTTCCATGTTTGTCTCATTCCACCAGGCTCAGGGAATGCCTTTTTAAAGAGGAGAAAAAGCGCCTGCCTGGCATGGGGAATGTGCAGGGGCCAACTGGAGCACAGCCAACTCAGAACTTCTTCAGGGGCTCCCTGAGCAGGCCCCACCTGCCTCCTCTCCCCAGGCCTGCACCTCGGAAGTGGCTGGAACCCACAGCCAGCACCTGTCCTTCCTTCCCGCCAGCACCACCTTCCTTCTCTACTCACTCAGAGATACCGGGGTTCCCCATGACTGGTTCATCCTCCCCTCACCCCTAACTTTCCGTGGTCCTCAGATCTCTAACCCATTCCTGCAACATCCAGTGAGGTAGGGAAGCAACAGCGCTGGCTCCGAGAGCCAGGGTCAGGGCCAGGGGCTGACTCCCACACTGTCCTGTCCTGAGCATTGTCCAGGCCCAGAGCAGGGCTGGGCTTGGCGCTGGGCTGTGGAAGCACAGGAGTGATCACTGACCTGGGGCCCTGATGGAGCTCAGAGGCTGATGGAGAAGAGACAGAAAGACTGAGCCCTCCCAGGTGATGCCACCGTGTTAAGCTCAGCGCTGAGAGGCAGCGGGAGGTGTCGCAGGGAGGGCTCCCGCAAGGAGAGACACACAGAGCTAAGAGCTGGAGGGCAGGGAGCCAGGCCGCTCGGGCCCTTCCTGGAGGATCGGATGAATCTGTTATCTCTGAGCAAGCTCCGGGAAACAGGAGACAGGTCGGGGGCTGGCTTGATGGGGGCAGTGGATGGGGTTACCCAAGATACGCTGCGACCTGTGAGCGTCCGGGAAGGGATTCAGGCTTGGGAGGAGTCCAGGAGACAGAAGTCATAGGATTGCCAATCTTTACAGTGGGACAGGTCCTTGGAGGTCATTCCGGTTACTACAACTGTGGGACAAATGACCCCATAACTCAGTGGCTTAAAAAACCACATTTATTTAGTTGGAGTTGAAATTTGGGCAAGGCCAGGAGTGGACACCCTGCCTCTGCTCCACTCAGGGTGAGCTAGGGTGGCTCCCAGGACTGGCGCGTGGCTGACTGTGGCTGTGCCTGTAACCTCTCCAGGTGACGTGGGCTTCCTCATGACATGGGGGCTGGACTCCCAGGAACGTTGGGCAAGAGAGAGAGCCGGGTGGAGTCTGTGGCACCTTCTGCAACCCAGCCTCAGCTTCACGCTGTGTCACCTCTGCTGCCTTCTCTTCAGCAGCCCGGTGACAAAATTCAAAGGAAGAAGGAAGAGCCTCTCCTTGTGTGTGGGAAATAGAAAGGTGATGTGGTCATTTGGGGAAAATAGAATTTGCCACAGGGATCACTGTGTCAGGACAGGACCCTCACTACAGGGAGGCTGGAAGGTGAACAAGCGATAATAAAGATAACGAACCTTTTCCTCTTACTTCAGCAGATATTTCGCAGCTATTTGGGCAGCTTGGAATGGGAACTGGTGGTCTTCCTAGACCACAGGTAATGAGGGGTGGCGTGGAGGAGGCAGCCGTGCCAGGCAGGAAGATCATCCTGGGATCTGCGATGTGTGCATCGGAAGCACCCAGAGAGAATAGAAGCTGCCAGAAAAATGCAAGGAAACCCAGAAACTCGGAGAGCACAAACGAATCACAGTTTTTATTGTGTGAATTTTCACTAAATATCCTACAATGAATATTCGTCATAAGAAAAAGTCATTTTTAATGTCATGATTTCCTGGAAATATAGAAAGAAAGAAAAACAGAAAAGGCACAACTGCCCCCGAGCACAGCAGCAGAATCTTGGTGGTGGGCGCTCCCCTGCCACGCCCGGGGATGCTCCTGCTTCAGGAGTTCACTTGGCTCAGTTATGGCAGCAGGTTCTGATGCTGCAGAGCTCAGAGCAGAAAGGCTAAGGACGCCTGCTTAGGGCCCCTACTGTGTGTGTGCATGTCTGTGTGCACGCATGTGTATGTGTAGGTCTGTGTGCAGGGCTGTGTGCATGACTGCACGTATGTGGATGGGTGCACGACTGTGTACCTGTGTGTGTATATGTGTGGGTGGGTGCGCCTGATTGTGTGTGTGTGTGCGTGTGTGTCTCACGCCAGATTGGTTCTGCTCAGGTGCTCTGCATCATTTCTGCAATCTGATTTCTCCAAGTCTCAAAGGTCGAATGTGCACCATCAACAGCACTGAGAGCCTCTTAGAAAGGCAAAGTCTCCCCAGACCGGATGCACTCCCAGCTTCCGTGCCTGGAATTAGCGTATTTCCTGCAACACCAGGCCGGGCAGAGCTAGGCAAAGTCACCCAGGATCTGGAGTTGCCAGAATGCAGCTTCGGCCACTGACAGCATCATCATGGCCACATAAAAAATCCCCCAAATAAATTTCCTTGGAAGAAGTAAATAAGTTCTTTGTACTTAAGTTTGGAGGTGACCAGTCCTAACTGGTAACTGAATTCCTTGTGATGTCTTACAAATCCTTTGCTTTCTAATTCTATAAATTATGTGTGCTTTTCCCCGGAGATCTTCTGAGAATTTCCTTTAGAGAGCATTTGACTCGGAGGCCATCGGCATCAGATCAGCCCAGGACACTTCAATGGTGAATTGTGTGATAAGCAACAAAATCTCAGTAAAGCTAAAACATCAGCACAGAAAAGACCTTAAAGAAACCGCCTCCTCAGCCACGGAGCCGGCACAACGGGAAAGAAACCACCTCCTCGGCCACAGAGCCGGCGCGGCCGGAAAGAAACCGCCTCCTCAGCCATGGAGCCGGCGCGGCCGGAAAGAAACCGCCTCCTCAGCCACGGAGCCGGCAGAACCCGAAAGAAACCGCCTCCTCAGCCACGGAGCCGGCAGAACCAGAAAGAAACCGCCTCCTCAGCCACGGAGCCGGCAGAACCCGAAAGAAACCGCCTCCTCAGCCATGGAGCCGGCGCGGCCGGAAAGAAACCGCCTCCTCAGCCATGGAGCCGGCGCGGCCGGAAAGAAACCGCCTCCTCAGCCATGGAGCCGGCGCGGCCGGAAAGAAACCGCCTCCTCAGCCACGGAGCCGGCAGAACCCAAAAGAAACCGCCTCCTCAGCCACGGAGCCGGCGCGGCCGGAAAGAAACCGCCTCCTCAGCCACGGAGCCAGCGCGGCCGGAAAGAAACCGCCTCCTCAGCCACGGAGCCGGCAGAACCCGAAAGAAACCGCCTCCTCGGCCACGGAGCCAGCGCGGCCGGAAAGAAACCGCCTCCTCAGCCACGGAGCCGGCAGAACCCGAAAGAAACCGCCTCCTCGGCCACGGAGCCGGCAGAACCCGAAAGAAACCGCCTCCTCAGCCACGGAGCCGGCAGAACCCGAAAGAAACCGCCTCCTCAGCCACGGAGCCAGCGCGGCCGGAAAGAAACCGCCTCCTCAGCCACGGAGCCGGCAGAACCCGAAAGAAACCGCCTCCTCGGCCACGGAGCCGGCAGAACCCGAAAGAAACCGCCTCCTCGGCCACGGAGCCGGCAGAACCCGAAAGAAACCGCCTCCTCGGCCACGGAGCCGGCAGAACCCGAAAGAAACCGCCTCCTCGGCCACGGAGCCGGCAGAACCGGAAAGAAACCGCCTCCTCGGCCACGGAGCCGGCACAACGGGAAAGAAACCGCCTCCTCAGCCACGGAGCTGGCACAACTGGAAAGCAACTCTCCGAGCTGAAAAGCAATGGGTTTGCAAAGAGTGGGAAAACACACAGAAGGCGGGTCATGCAAAACGTCCTCCCGTGTCTGTAAATGGCAGTTGCCCGCCACGATGTCCAGATGCACCGGGGAGTCTGGCCACGCCAAGGGAGAGACCAGAGAGGGCGACTAGCACAGCGTTCACATCTGGTGGCTCTGTCCCCCCAGACACTCCGCACCGAAGCCTGGGGCAGAGGAGAAACCTCGTGCCTGCACACAGAAGGTGTCTCCACAAGGAGCCGTCTCTACAGCGTGACTGTGGAAAGCAGGCCTCGGGACCCTGGGACCAGCACCAAGAATGCCAGACCTGGTTCTCCGAGGCTGCGGCATTCCTCCCACGTCTGCCTCTAGGGGCCACGCAAGGGAGCTGAGACACGGGAGTTACAGAGCACTCAGCTTCCCCACAAGAACTGGCTCTGGTAAGAGCAGCTAGCATCAAGGAGGAGGATTCACGTGTGCACCCACCACTCAGAGACACAGACATATGCACACTCGCAGACATGCACACACACCACAGAGACACAGACATGCCCATGCACACACATGCACTCACACCACAGAGACAGACGTGCCCATGCACACACACGCACACACACGTGCACACGCACACATGCATGCACACGTACTCACACACCACACAGAGATACATGCACTCACACGCACACACACATGCACATACACACGTGTGCACATACATGCACACACGCACAGATGCACGCATGTACATGCACACACATGTACACACACCAGTCATGCAACCACACATGCACACACAAATATGCACCTACACACATGTGTATATACATGCACATATGCAGATATGCACACGTATATGCACACATGTGCACATGCGTACACATGCAAACATGCATGCACACATGTACACACACCACACAGACATGCACTCACACGTACAGACACACCCAAGCATGCGCATACACACGTGCACATATATGCACACATGCACATATGCACACATGCAAATGCAAACATGCATGCACACATGTACACACACCACACAGACACAGACATGCACTCACATACACATGCACACACACAAACATGGACATACACGTGCACACACACGCACACACACGCAGTCACACACGTACACATGCATGCAGGCACACAGACACGCACATACACCACACTGCACAAACATGCACACACAGACACAAACACATGCGCACACACGTGCACATGCACTCACACCACACACAGACATGCACACACAGGCATGCACACACACGTACACAGAGACACACATTCACAAACACATAAATGCTTGTGTGTGGAGACAACTTTCTGCATTCATTGAGCGTGAGTTTTGTTCATGAAAATCCACTGGCCCCCTTTGCTCTTTGAATGGGTCTTTTACCTATGCATGATTTTGAGGAATCACACGCTGGTCATGTGGAGAATTATTCGGAAGCTGTCACACTCACAATGCGAGAAACAAGTTTTCAAAAATTCCTCTTGTCATTTGAAAGCTCAACATTGTATCATTGGTGCCAGATACTCCCAGCTGTTTTCCTTACAGGGATGGGCTTACTTGGTTGTTTTCAGGAAAACACCCAAGCCTGGGTATGCAGGGCTGTTCGCTGTTTGTTCCATGGAAACTGGTGTTGCAAGAATAAAGGAGCTTGGTTCAGCTTGGCTGCCAGACGCCCACATGGCACACACAAAGCACTGTGCGCAAACCTCCAGCTCCATCACAAGGAACGTCACTGCCGAATGCTGCTGGCGATGGTGGCGAGAAGCCTCACGAGCTCAAAGCCACCTTGATCTGGGCCCAGGCACCAGCAGGTGTCCCACCATCAGCCCTCTGCCATTGCCGCGAATGTCAACACAGAGAAAAAGGCAAGGGGCCCGAGATGACTGTGCTGGTCTTGGAGACCCCCCTGAAAACACCCAAAGGACCACACGTGAAGAACTGCTGTTCTGTGGAACAAATGATGCCAACGCTTCAACAAATGCACAGCCCGAAGAGTCTGGGCAGATAAACAAGGTGCCGGACACGGCCCTGCTGGGTCCTGTTTCAAACAGGCCAGACATAAATAGATGTGTGGAGACCCCGGGAAAACTTCCAGGAGCACTTGGGGGCTGGAGGGAGGCACACGGGCCTGCGCCTGGGAGCCGTGCTCTGCCCACTCCACCCCATGACCCTCGAAGGAAGCACCTCACGGGGCCCCCAGGGGTGCAGGGAGTCAGCCGCCCTGTTCCTGTGTGAGCGGGGCCTCTGGGGCACCGACCTGCACAGACCTGGTGGGGAGAGGCCACTCCAGCCTCTGGGCTGTCTTGGGTGAGGCCTGAAGTGGCTCTTCCCACAGTCTGAGCAAGGGCTCAGTCCCACCAGCAGCAACATAGCCCAGGGCATGGAAGCCCTTGATGACGTACATGGGGCTCGACTCCCACAAAGCCAACCCCATTGTGGGGTCAGCACAGCTGCAGAGAGTACCCACGCCAGCCGCAGCCATCCCCGAGGAGTGTGGTGCTGGGGACAGTAAGCCGGGTGTGTCAACCTGTGAGGGGCACCTGAGGCCAGCATGAGGGCAGGCGAGGCGGCCGTGGCTCATGGGTGCTAGGTCTGCAGGACTGTGCCCAGGTGTAGGCTCTGCCTCCCAGCCCCACGGCGAACACCCATGGTGCCCCTGCCCTGTAGCAAGACCCTGACCCCCACACATGTCCCCAGACACCTCCTGGGGCAACAGTGCTGCCATGAGGACCTCTGAGATGAAGGCACCGGCTCCACTGAGGCCTGTGTGGTTCCCGCCACCTGCCCCCACACCCTTCCTCCTCCACCCGCCCTGCGCTCTGGAGTGGCCCGGAGCCTGCCCCGTGGGCGCCCACAGAGTCAGGCACCAGCAGGAGATGAAGGGGCGGAGGAAGGTGAGAGTGTCCTCATCCCAGGCCTCCTCGTGAGGTCCCTGCGGCCTGGCTGAGCCCCTCCCAGGGACAGGCCCCTCCGTTGCTCCCCTGGAAGCTGCTTTCCTCGGACGTGGGAACAGCCCTGTCCCTGGGCCCTCAGGAATGGGATAGAACAGGGCCCAGGGTGGGAACCAACACCCTAAGTCTCTTCCCACAGAAGCCTAAGGACAGCAATGGCTGAGGGAGGCGTCCTGAGGTGCTCCCGTGGCTGTGCTCCCATGGCTGTGCTCCCCTCGCTGTGCAAGCATCGCAGCGACTCACACGGCTGGAGGGCAGGGCCCACTGCCTGCCCAGGCTTCACGGTGTGGCCCTGGCTGCACACCTGTGCTGCAGGTGCCTGCGCCGATCCCTGGAGGAGCTGTAGTAAGCATTTGTGCATGTAAACACATCCAAGCTTGGAAATGGCACAGTAAAAGCACAGCACCGCGATCTTACGGGAGAAACGTGGTTATGCGCGTGGCTGGGTGGCCTTTACTACTCCTTCCTCAGTCCCTCGCTTGAGGGGGTGCCTGGCTGAGTGAAGATCCCAGCACACTCAGGATCTCGTGCCTGTCCCTGGGCACCTGACGTGCTACGGAGACAGTGACTTTGCAGATGGGATTAGGGTCAGGGCCTTGAGGCGGGGACTGATCTGGGACTGTCCAAGTGATAACGGAATGTAACCACGAGGTCCCCAGGGAGGGAGGCGGAGGGAGGTGTGACCAGAGAGGACACTAAGGCCACATGATGGCAGGACAGCGTCAGGGAGGGGCAGGGCTGCGAGCCAGGGGTGCTGACTCTTGCCTGAGCCAGGAGAGGCAGTGTGGCCCTGCTCACACCTCCCTCTTAGCCCTGTGAGCCCCGTTTTAGACTTGGGCCCCCAGAGCTGTAATGGGATAAGCGTGTGTGTGTTAGGCTTCGACGCACAACAGTACCTTGAGGGTCCCAGCGTCTTGGACACCTCCATGCTGGGGGCGTACGAACATTTTCCAGGTGGTGCAATTGCCTAAGGGAATCACATCCAGACCCCTGATTTCCAGATGCAATCTCTCCCACAGTAGATCTGGGTGAGTCCAGGGCCCCAGGTCCACTGCGTCCCCTTCCCACCCGACTGCCACCAAGAGGAGCCAACCCCATCCCCAGCCCAGCCTCCCTGAGGTGCAGCTCTCCCTGCGTGACCCTCGGGCCCCAAACATAGAAGCAGTCACAGCATGGGGCAAGGCCGGGCTCCAGGGGAGAATCGCCGAGTCTGTGCCTGGCAGATTCTGTGTCTGGCAGATTCTGTGCCCAGCGGAATCTGTGCCCGGCGGATTCTGTGCCCAGAGGATTCGCACAGGGCCCAGCCTTCTCCTCATCCATGCCCAGCCGCCAGGGCCGGAGAACCCAGAGGGAGGGGTCATCACTGGACACCTCCCGACGTCCTAACAATTCTGACAGAAGCCAGATCGGTTCTGCCAACCGCTTTGACTGGCTCCCCAGCCAGGTCGCCTTTGTCTGTTTGGTGAACTCCGGCCAAGCCTTGCTCCAGGCGCCACGTTCAAACTCGCCACAGCCTTGCGTCAGGGGCTGTCACCACTGCCGTGTAAGATAAGGAAGCCAAGGCTCCGGGCAGTGGCGTGAGCAGCCCAGGGTCACACAGCAGGCAGTGGCAGAGCCGGGGCAGACTCAGGCACCGACCAGGCTCACGCACACGGCCTGTGTTGCCATGAGCCCCGAGATGAAAGGACCTCGTCTGTGGATCCCCGTTCTGTGGGAAATGCATTAAACGGCATGTGAGTACATTGCTGCCCTTTCCAACTAAACCAAAAGTATTTTAGATGCAAAGTTGACATGGCACATTTCTGAAAATTCTTTGAGGACTACACGAGCAAAACATGTTGAGAGCCGGGACCTCCGGCCTTAGCCTCAGTAACAGAAACCAAAGCCATCCCTGAACAATCTCAGCACGGTCCCCCTTCAAAGACGAGAAACTGAGGCTCTGGGAGGTTGGTTGTTGTGGCCCAGGACGGACCCCCAAAGCCCGTGTGCTTAACTGCAGGGCAGGGACGCTGGCTAGGATCTGGCCACTGGAGCCGCTCCTGCCCCAGGCCCCAAGCTGGTGGCCCACAGCGCCTCTCCTGCAATCCCAGATCAGCTTGGCAGGGGCGGTCACCTGGGATCAGGGTATTTTTTTAAATTTAATTTACTTTAGCTCTTCCAAGAGGCAATTAGATGAGGAAATCTGTCTTCCGCCGGACTGAAGATAATTAGAGAGACTGGATAAATTGTTATTGACGGTAAGAAGATAATTCGCTAGAACCGCTAGAAAAAATGCCTGCTGTCCTTCCCAATTCCAGATTCCTTCCTGCCTAGAGGAAAATGAAAGTGCCCTGAGGTTTCCTACCTTGACTTTCTCCACATGAACATGGGCCCTGTAAACCAGAAAGCATGAGAGACAGGCCTCAATCCATTGAGAGGTTCATTTGCCAAGGTTAAGGGCACACATGGGAGAGAGCTCTGTGACTTTCTCCAAAGATGATTTTGAGGGTTTCAGTATTTTAAAGGGGAAATGCAGGCTGGAGGGGAAAGAGGGAGGTTTGGTTGCGAGACTGAACCCATGCATTGCAGGAGAAAGGAACAGGCAGGACAATGGTGAATGATGCATTTGTCCTGGGCTCAGAAAGTCGGACTTTGCACTAGGCCAGGGGAACGCAGAGCAGCTGCTGGTGAAGACGCTGAGCCTTTGCTGGGCAGCTCCCTGCTCAGGAACACAAGGAAAGGCCTCTCCTCACAGGGCTCAGCTTCCAGCTTTAAGGGTTTCCTTTGGCGGTGAATTGGAGTCCCCAGATTTTATTTTCCTTTCACAGCCCCGATGTTGCCCCAGAAACAACAGAGACTCCTGAAAGTTTCCCACACCCTTCAGAAGGCTTTGGGCAAATTGGGGTGTGGGAGACGGGATGAGCATGGATGGAGCACCTACTGTGCACCTCACGCTGTGGCTGGTCTGGGAGACGGGACGAGCGTGGATGGAGTGCCTACTGTATGCCTCACCCTATGGCTGGTTTGGGGATGGGACGAGCGTGGATGGAGTGCCTACTGTATGCCTCACCCTGTGGCTGGTTTGGGGACAGGACGAGCGTGGATGGAGTGCCTACTATATGCCTCACGCTGTGGCTGGTTTGGGGACAGGACGAGCATGGATGGAGCGCCTACTGTATGCCTCACCCTGTGGCTGGTTTGGGGACAGGACGAGCGTGGATGGAGCGCCTACTGTATGCCTCACCCTATGGCTGGTCTGGGGACGGGACAAGCGTGGATGGAGCGCCTACTGTATGCCTCACGCTGTGGCTGGTCTGGGAGATGGGATGAGCGTGGATGGAGCGCCTACTGTATGCCTCACCCTATGGCTGGTCTGGGAGATGGGATGAGCGTGGATGGAGCGCCTACTGTATGCCTCACCCTGTGGCTGGTCTGGGAGATGGGATGAGCGTGGATGGAGCGCCTACTGTATGCCTCACCCTGTGGCTGGTCTGGGAGATGGGATGAGCGTGGATGGAGCGCCTACTGTATGCCTCACCCTGTGGCTGGTCTGGGAGATGGGATGAGCGTGGATGGAGCACCTACTGTATGCCTCACCCTGTGGCTGGTTTGGGAGACGGGATGAGCGTGGATGGAGCGCCTACTGTATGCCTCACGCTGTGGCTGCCACTTTCACTTTCTGCCTCATCCCAGCCTTGCCATGTGGCGCCCATTTCACAGATGATGAAACAGAAGCACGCAGAATTCAGTAACTTTTTTCAATGTCAAATAGCTAATGGGAGAAACAAGATATAAACCAGGTAAGTCTGAGTCAAAACATAACCACATCTTCCAAATGGGAAAGCATGCATTTATCTGTATGTACACTTTTAAGTTAATCTTTCAGTCAACACACATGTATTGGATTTCCTTACGTGCAGGACACTAGACAAGGTGCAAAGATGACTCGTGCAGTTCTGCCCTGTAAGAATCCACAGTTGAAGTAAGAAGCAAGAGAAATGGAACAGACGATGAGACAAAGCAGACAGCGGTGACAGCATCCCACCACACGGCTGCCCTGCTGGAGAATTCACGGGGAAGTCCAGGATGTGGCCGGCCCGTGTGCAGACCAGGAGCTCACTGACCGATCAACACATCAGGCAGGGGGTTGTCAACCGTGGCCTCGCCTGAGGGTCCCCCAGGGGCTAAGGACCCAGATACTCAGGACACAGGCCAGCCGGACCCCGCACATCAGTCGCTGGAGGGGGTGGATGTTTGAAGCTCCCCAGGTGGTTCTCTAAGTAGCCAGGCCTGCAGGGGGTGGTGGGGGTGAGCAGCGGGTGAGTTTGGGGTGATGCGGAGGGGCAGCAGGTGAAACCACTCCCTGGGGGGAGAAGGAGCAGTTGGTGAAACCACTCCCAGGCAAGCAGGAGGAGCAGTGGGTGAACCACTCCCTTCGGGGGGGAGCAGTGGGTGAAACCACTCCTGGGGGCGGGCGAAGAGGAGCAGCAAGTGAAACCACTCCCAGTGGAGGGGAGCAGTAGGTGAGCCATTCCCTGGAGTGGGGGGAGCAGCAGGTGAAACCACTCTCCGGGGGGGCGGACAGGAGCAGCAGGTGAGCCACTCCCTGAGGTTGGGGAAGCAGCAGGTGAAACCACTCCCCGGGGGGCAGAGAGGAGCAGCTGGTGAGCCACTCCCTGGGGGTCCACAGTGGTTCCAGGCAGAGGCTGCATTTGTCAGGCCTTGGAGGATGGTGCTGAGTGGGTAGAATTCCAGGAGGCTCTGGGGCAAACCCTAACCTTAACCCTAATCCTGGCCCTGGCAACACCTCATCGCAGCTCCTCTTCCTCCTGCGGCCCACAGTAGATTCTCCAGCATGAGTACCAGGAAGACGCCCTGTCCCAGAACCCGTCCAGTACCCACCCCAAGCTCCAGGAGGGGCAGGCCCAGGCCCCAGACACCAGGGCACAGCGCCTCTCCTCCCACCCTCCCAAGGCTGGTCTTAGGGCACAGTGCCTCTCCTCCCACCCCCACCCCTGTCTGCCTGCCAACCTCGTGGGCCTCCCTCACACACACAGGCGCCCCCACACATATGCACACGCTCACACACGCACTACTGAGAGTGCACATGCTCACACACACAAGGCCTGCACACACACGCCACCAAGCACACACGCTCACACAGGGACTGGCCTGGGTCCAGGCTGTGCAGTGTCGTGGTGGCCGGAGTGGGTGGGGCTGAGACATCGGCCATTGGTCCACACTTGCCACAGTGTCCACTGTGGGGCTCAGGCAGCCTTTCACGGCCAGCATGCCTCTGATCTTCCGGCCACAGTGAGGGTGGGCGTGCTGTGTGGTCCGGTGCTTGCGCCCCCAAGTCTGCAGTGAGGCCTGGCTGGGGAGCCGCTGAGATCACCTGCTCCAGCTCTGCCACCCTCTCTCCGTCCCGTCCTCCCCAGGGAAGCCCTTCCTAGTTTTCTGCGCAGGCCTGTGAATCCCCTTCTTCCTCTTTCCCTGCTTCTTTCTCCTTAGGGTTTAGACTTTGGAGAAACCAAAACAGAAAGACCTGCCTGGAGCTCCCACACGGACCCCTCCCTAGAGCCCCAGATTCTACTGGCCCCCACTGGAACAGGGGAGGAAGCAGAGGAAGAAGGTACATGCAGCCTCCAGAAAAATGATCAGGATGATTCCAGACTCACCCGATAGGGCCATCAGGGCAGGCGATTAGCCTTGATTCCACCTGGGGAGAGGGGCCTCCCCAACCACACAGCCCTGTTGGGGGAAGGAGCTGCTGGGACCTGCCAAGGGAATGGGCCTCCCCTGGAGCTCTAAGAGTCAAAAGCTGAGGCTTTTTTGCATAAAAGCAGGGCAGGAGGAATTGGGGGTGTGGTGGCCGAGGCACTACTGAGTTCAAAAGAAGCTCGTTGAGGGCAGGGACCTTCGCCCCAGTTCTCACAGGAGGCACTCCCTGAACAAAAGCTGCAGGAGGACCATACAGGCCAAACTGCCAAACTCAGACCAGCACCTGCTGGGCCGAGGCCACGGGGACGCCTGGTCTTCTCCTACCCATACCCACCACGGCCGCTGGGCAGAGGACATGGGGGACCCACGGGGGCCTGACTGCTGGGAATACCCATTGGCTTGAGCAGATGTGAGTCAACAAGACTCAGACAATGACGTGGGCTCTAAGAAGGTGGCAGTTACGTGAACTGTGAAGCTCAGTTCCTCCCGTTTGTTCAGAGCCTCCGCATCCTGGCCCCAGCTCAGGTGGGAGTCGTTGCTGAGGCACCCGTGTGTGCACGTGGCCTGGCTCTCAGCTCTCAGGGATCAGTAGTGCTGGCAGCAAAACATGACCCTTCCTGTAACAAAATGCCCATGAAATGGAGCAGGGGATGAATAACGTAAGCCGAGCCATGAGGGAGCGGGAGGGGCCGCCCCGCCTGTCTGTACAGGGTGTGGGGTGAGGGCAGGAAGGGGACAGGAGGTGCCCCCAGAGACATGAATTTTTAAAAATTAAACACACTCCTTGCACTTTGCTAGAAGGCCTCTGTCACCATGTGACCGGGGACCTCTTCAGGGCTCCCAGCAGGAAAGGCAGAATTACACCCCCCGGGAAGCCTGAAGCCCACCCTCTCGCAGCCCTGAGCCGGGCAACGGCGGCTCACCAGCACCTCCTGTTCTAGGCGGCATTTTTCTAAAGTGCAGAGTGCAGCAGCCTCTGCATCACCCCACTGCAGGGAGAGAGCCACGCCCTTTGCAGTTGTGAAACCAGACCCGCTGGACAGTTCGCCTCCAAGCACACAGTGCATATTGGATACTGACAGGCCAGGGTGGCAGTGGGGCTCCTGGGACCCACGTGACAGGACAAGAGCTGAGGCTCAGCCAGTCGCCCCCACAAGGCCAGCCGAAGAATGCCAGGGACCGAGAGCTGAGGCTCAGTGAGCCATCCCACCCATGCCAGCGGGAGAATGCCAGGTACATCGCTCTCCATGCTGTCGTCCTCAAACCCCAGCACAATGCCTCACCCTTGGTAACATTCAGCCTTCAGCTCATTTGTCTTGCAAATAAAAAGGTTGAACTTGGAAGAACATTTCACTACTGTAATTGGGGGATTGGGGCTTGGTTTTTTAAAAATCAAATCAAGGCTTCTTATATCCATTTTAAATTGCCTAGATAGAAACTGAGAACCAATCTCATATTTATTTGTAATTTCATGTTATCAGATTGAGGTTTTCTTTCAAAACTGCTCTTCCATTGACTGGCATAATGCCTGTAATCTGTACATTTTATTTGCAATTGAGGCCCATTTACGTGTCTAAACACTCACAGAGGGGACAGACCCCCATTGTAAAACAAAACACAATGGGCCCCAGCCAGAGACTGCCAGCTTTTCGAGGACTCGCTGTGGTGGAGCTCACATTGAGGTAATTCCATACTCAGCAAACCCACAGACCGCAGACAGGAAAAAAGAAAGAACCGCCACTCTGACAATATCATAAATAGTTGAGTAAAGGAATAAAATAAGAAGTGCTGAGCCTGCAGCCCTTGCTGGAGTTATCAGAACCGGCCCCAAATTTCCTGCAAGGCTGTCTCTGGCACGGCCCTCCCCAGAGGCCAGCTGGCCCCATAGGCACATCCACGCTAAGCTCCACAGCCTCTCACGCATCCACGCTGAGCTCCACAGCATCTCAGGCATCCACACTGAGCTCCACGGCCTCTCACGCATCCACGCTGAGCTCCACGGCCTCTTCTGCATCCACGCTGAGCTCCACGGCCTCTCACGCATCCACGCTGAGCTCCACGGCCTCTCACGCATCCACGCTGAGCTCCACGGCCTCTTCTGCATCCACGCTGAGCTCCACTGCCTCTCATGCATCCACGCTGAGCTCCACGGCCTCTCATGCATCCATGCTGAGCTCCACGGCCTCTTCTGCATCCACGCTGAGCTCCACGGCCTCTCATGCATCCATGCTGAGCTCCACGGTCTCTCCTGGGAAGCCCTGGCTTCCTTCTCTCTGCCAGCCCTCATGGGAGTGCCTAGCACCACCGCAGCGCAGAGGGGACGGGAGAGATGCCTGCAGCTCCAGCCGTTTCTCCTCCAGGGGAGGAGGCCAGAGGCAGAGGGAAAGCAGGCAGCTCCCGCAGGACAGCCCTGAGCCAGTGTGAATGTGGGTGAAGCTCCCGGTGCTCACTGCAACAAGGAGGACGCGTGAGCAAGTGCAGACGCTGGGGACTCAGCCCTGACCGACAATGTTGACGTCTGCCAGCTACATGGAGATGAAAATGAAGGCATGTCGCATGCATGTATGTGTGTAGAGGTGTGTGTGTGTGCGCATGTGTGCACCTGTGTGTAATTCTGAAGGAAAGTATGTGACTTGGAAATCATATCACAATCCAGGGACTCACTCTTCCTTATTAACTTTTATTTTTACCCTTTTTTTATTTGAATAAAAATTGCAGTTTTTGTTTTTTACAAAAGGAAAGGTCACACGGCATTGTTCCTCAGCCTGCTGGCGGCCTGTGGCTCCCCCGGCTGCAGTGTCACTAAGGCAGTGTGGTGGGCTGGCCCTGAGCTGCAGGTGCACACGCTTGCCCGGGAGGTTGACAGTGGGACGTTTCTTGCCATGTTTTTGGCCCCAGCATGAGCCGATCGCATCAGCCAACTCCGCAGATGAGACAAAGCCACCTTGCAGGGATTCCCATGGGCTTCTGAGGGGGCCGTGGCCTACATTGAGGATAAGAGGATTGAAGCTGAGAGCTTCTCTGCAGAGGGTGCACCTATGCCTGCCTCACTGCAGCCAGATGCCCAGATGCCTGGGCCTCTTGATGTGCAGTCCCATCCTTTGCTGACCCCAAGGGAGATTACAAACCCAGACCGGCCAGACGGCTGCCTGGGCAGCAGAGCGGGGTGTTGCTGGTCCAGGCAGCACCGAGAGAGAGCCCAGGGAGGGCAGCAGGGGGTCGTCCCCGCTGAGGAGAGAGTATTTGCCCAGATTCAGGGGCCTGAAACCCCAAGACTGCCCACAACAGAGGGCCCAGATGAAGAGTCCATAGAGACATCTGCCCGGAGGGCACCGAGCCACGTGCAGCAGCACCAGGCAGGCAAGAATAGCCCTGGATGCCTTCCTTCATCCCAGCTCAGCCCTGAAGAGCCAGAGGCCGAGGCTGGCCACAGGAAGCAGGGCCACTCTGCAGGCAGGTGGGCATGAGACACATGCACCGCCACCGTCAGACACTGCAGCCCCGCGGGAACGGAGGCACCAAAGCTCATCGCATGTGGAGCTGTGACCATTATGGGGCCACGCACACTGAGCCCCTGAGAGGAGGCTGGTGCTGCCTGGGTGGGGAGCAAACAGGCGGGGGCAGGCAGTGTCAGAGCTCCAGAACTGGGCAGGGCCCGCCGGGGTGTCTCCGTAGGATCATTGACTCAGCATTCGTGATGTATTTTCTCCATGGGACACAAAGATTTAGAAGTTTTTAAAAATAAAGTGACAAGAGGCCGGGCACCGTGTCTCACGCCTGTAATCCCAGCACTTTGGGAGGCCGAGGCCGGCAAATCACCAGCTCAGGAGATCGAGACCATACTGGCTAACACGGTGAAACCCCGTCTCTACTGAAAAATACAAAAAATTAGCCAGGCATGGCAGCGGGCGTCTGTAGTCCCAGCTACTTGGGAGGCTATGGCAGGAGAATGGCGTGAACCCGGGAGGCGGAGCTTGCAGTGAGCCGAGATTGCACCACTGCACTCCAGCCTGGACGACAGAGCAAGACTCCTTCTCAAAAAAAAATAAATAAAAAATAAAGTGACAATAGGGCTTTCGAATGCCTTGTATGAATGCATGGGGTGAGCATGAGTTTCATCGAGGGGTGAAAACACCACTCAACTGACCCAAGAGATGGCAGAAGCCAAAAACGAAGCTGCTTTTGTGGTTTTATCCCAACAGGTTGCCTGTGCAGTGGAACCACTGCTGATCTTACAGATAAATATATAATCTGCAACAGGCTTGCCAGAGTTAACCAAAAGAAAACTGCGGAACATCCCATTAAATCTGAATTTCAGAAAAATGATGAATCATTTTTTAGGTCAAGTATGTCCCAAACACTGCATGGGATAGACTTACACTAAAAAATGATTCCTTATTTATCTGAAATTGAAATTCATTGGGATGTCCTGTATCGTGTCTGGCAACCCAGCCCTAAAACAGGCAGAGGGTCTTGCTGGTGGGCCTGGGGGGGCCACGGGGCTCTTTGGCACCGGGAGCCAGGCTTCCCTCCACTGCTGCGACCACTCATAGCCCCTCCAAGCCCCCTGATCCCAGTGAAGCCAGGATGAGATTGCTTACCTGTCCAGGGCCATAGGAATGCAAGGCAGGTTAAAATGGGTTTAAAAAATCAGAAATGGAGTCTTTCATGTTCCAGAGTGTATGAAGTGAGACTGATAGCCATTACCTAATCGATGTGTAACATTCTAGAAAACAAAACAGGAGGCCGAGGCGGGCGGATCATCTGACGTCAGGAGTTCAAGACCAGCCTGGCCAACATGGTGAAACCCCATCTCTTACTAAAAATACAAAAACCCAGCACTTTGGGAGGCTGAGGCGGGTGGATCACGAGGTCAGGAGATCAAGACCATCCTGGCTAACATGGTGAAACCCCATCTCTACTAAAAGTACAAAAAATTAGCCAGGCATGGTGGCAGGCACCTGCAGTCCCAGCTACTCGGGAGGCTGAGGCAGGAGAATTGCTTGAACCTGAGCTTCTCGGGAGGCAGAGGTTACAGTGAGCTGATATTGTGCCACTGCACTCCAGCCTGGGTGACAGAGAGAGATCTGTCTCAAAAAGAAAAGAAAAGAAAAGAAACAGAAAGGGAGGGAGGGAGGGAAAGAAGGAAGGAAGGAAGGAAGGAAAGAAAGAAAGAAAGAAAAGAAGGAAGGAAAGGAAAGGAAAAAAAGAAAAAGAGAAAGAAAGAGAAGGAAAGAAGGAAAGAAGAGAAGAGAAAAGAAAGAAAGAGAAGGAAGGGAGGGAAGGAGGAAGGAAGGAAGGAAGGAGAAAGAGTGGGCACGGAAATCTGTCCTGCAGGCCGCTTCCCACGGGCCTCCTCCTGTGCCTGCCTGCGCCTGCTCAGGTGCACCTGGATGGGTAGTTTTATGTCAAAAAGCACTGGACGCCCCACAGCTCCTCCTGAACATCCCAGGTCTCAGAAGTGTCAGACGCTCAGAGCCAGGACAGGAGGAGGCCGGGAGGTTTATTTTGCAGTCCAGGTTTGCTTCCCAAGAACAGTCTGCAGGTGCATGAGGCAACTTGACAGGACATATGAAAGTCTCCACAAAACCAGACGATGTGGAGTTCTGTTGAGATCTGTGGGAAGACGTGCTCCTCACCCAGGGTGTGGCCGACGTGGGTTCTATGGGAAGACATGCTCCTCACCCAGGGTGTGGCCGACGTGGGATCTATGGGAAGACGTGCTCCTCACCCAGGGTGTGGCCGACGTGGGATCTATGGGAAGACATGCTCCTCACCCAGGGTGTGGCCGATGTGGGATCTATGGGAAGACGTGCTCCTCACCCAGGGTGTGGCCGACGTGGGATCTATGGGAAGACATGCTCCTCACCCAGGGTGTGGCCGATGTGGGATCTATGGGAAGACGTGCTCCTCACCCAGGGTGTGGCTGACGTGGGACCTATGGGAAGACGTGCTCCTCACCCAGGGTGTGGCCGACTTAGGATCTGTGGGAAGACGTGCTCCTCACCCAGGGGCGTGGCCTATCTTCCCTCCAGAAGCTCTAAAACCACATAGGAGGGAGTTGGGTCCCCATTTTGGCTGCAGCCAGCAAATCTCCAAAATTGTGGATTGCCAGGGTCCTCTTCTCCCCAACAGGAAGAGGACGACCTGGCAGCCTGAGGACTGTGAGGGCATAGGCCCTGCCCACTGCAGCACTGACTCTCAGGCAGCTGTCTCTGCCATTTCTGGGAGAGAGGCCGAGACCCACCAGTCCAGGCTACGGAGGATCCATCTCTTCCACTCCCTGCAGGACGTGACACCCCCAAGTGGGACCTTCCCAAGCCACCCTGTCTCCATCAGTCACATCATCAGCCACTTGCCGCGGCCCCTCTCACCAAATTAGAGTAGACAGGGCTTCTTTCTACCACCAGCTCTGCCCCAAGGCTCACGGGGACGTCCTACCATCTTCTCTCCCCGTGACCACATGTGGCAGGGTCAGGCTTCTTCTCCCACTGGTACAACAGTGGCCGGGGCTCAAAGGAAGTTCTTTCCTAAAAGGAGCTCAGAGGCCCTCTCTGGAAAGGAGTCCTCAGGCCGCCCATCACCACTGCTTCCCTGCGGCTTGGATGCACTCCCTCTGAGCCGGCTGCTGAGGCCATGGAACCCAGGCCAGCACCGCCGGCCCTCAAGAGGGAGTGTGTCCTGGAGGCAGTTGCAACAGAACTAACTTCCTGCAGTTAAAACACACAAAGCATTTGGGGAACCTTCAGTGTTCAAAGTGCAGTTGGAAATGCCAGGTGCATTGTGGGTGGGGCCGAGCTGTATGAGAAGGTGGGCTGTGAGTGTCTTCCCGGGCTATGGCTTTAGGACTCCAGTGCTGCTGCTACTGGGAACACAGAGAGGGGTTGCAGCAAGGAGCTCTGTCCCTATGCACAAGGCCCGTGGCCTGAAGTGTCCCCTGGGAGATGAGACGGACCAGCCCCAGTGGGGAGGAGGGTCAGAGAGCAAACGGTCCTGGCTTTGCCCGCCAAGAGCAGCTGAGGTGCTTCCGGGACTCAGGGTCAAGACAGAAAACATTTTCAGCTCCCCAGCTCAGGGGTGGGAACTTTGCACCAGCTGCCGTCAGCTGGACACCCTGAGATAAGGAGACCCCAAGATGCACTGAGACCCCCAGACTCCACACCCGCTCCCCTCCTCCCAACAGCCCAACAGAGCCTGCGCCTGGCAGATGTGGACCATGGCACCCCGGAGTGCAGGGGACCATGGTGCCCCAGTGTGCAGAGGACCACGGCGCCGCAGGGTGCAGGGGACCATGTGGCGTGCAGGCCACCAGCACAGGGCCCGGGCACCCTGGAAGTCAGGAGCCTGCACAGAGGGACCTGGGGGGGGCGAGGTCCAGCCCTCCCCAGTGGGGCCAGGGGCTGCGGCCAGGGTTCACTGACCCCTGACCTGGCCACCGTGCACCTCCCGCTGAGGAGCGTGGCTCTGGGAAGCCAATGGCTAAGGTCTTGGGAGGCCAAAACCGAGTCTCTGCCCCTGACCACACGGTTGGTCAATCACCAATGCAGGAGGCTCCCTAAGAGTTTGTAGATTTTTGGCTTACTCCCTCTGGAGAGCATCTTATGTCTTCTCAGTGAGATGGAGCAAAAGACGTGAAATATGCAGTCGGGGGCTCACGGCACCAGCATGTGCGTCTGGCGGCTCAGGCCGATGTGGGCTTTCTCCTCCTTGGGCCGCAAGGAGATGGCGTGATGGGGACCTGGGTGGAGGGAACCACGTGTCCCCTTGCTAGCAGACCCCAGGCTGGCACCACGGAGGCAGGCGGCCCCCATCGAGCCGTATGGGTCCTTTTCCTCCACGTGGACTCTGGGGCGTCACCTAGGAAACCAGACACATCCCTGACTTGGACGAGGAGCTGGAGCCCCCGGAGATGCCCTTCATGTCGTCCGGCATCTGACCGTCCGAGCGCCACACGTTCAGCTCGCCAAAGATGCCCGTCTCGATCATCTCCTCCTGCCAGGGGATGGGGCAGTTGCCAGTGGCAAATTCCTGAAAGAATTCTGTGTCTGTTTTGTCAAAGGCCACACCTTTGACGGTGGAAAAGGCACCCACGTCCTGAATATCCTTTGCGTAGACAGTTTTGGAGTCTGGGATGAAAGGGGGCATCAGCATCCCTGTGGGAGACAGAAAACACAGACGCCAGGCTCCTCGTGGTGGGAAGGAAGCGCCGTTTAGCCAAAAAGCCCCCTCCCCCATGGCTCCCAGATGCACAAAGGCCTGGGGCCGCTCTTCCTTAGGGAAGTGTCGTGGAGGCTGAGAGAGAAAGCCCAGTGTTCCCAGAAGGCCCCTGGGTTCCCCTGAGACCACACAGCTGGGGCTTGAGTGGGGCCGGAAGAAGCCTGAGATCCCAGGGCTCATTTTGGAGCCTTCTTGTGAAAGGACCTGGCGCTCACATCTGCCTTGTTGGGAGCCTCCCCTAGGGTCTCGTCATGAAGCGGTCTCCTCCCCGAACACGCCTTCCCCTGGGGCCCCATCCCCACCAGGGCCTCCCCTGCGCACTCTGCAGACCCCAGACCCCAGGCACTCAAGCACACGCTCCAGTGAACTTGGCAGCTTCCTTCCAACCAGCGTCCCTCCCTGACGCACCGGCCCCCGATGGCCAGGCACAGCCGGTCACAGACATCACTCTCCTCTCGGTGCACCGACCCTGACCCGGCTGGCCCATGCTGGCCCCCAGACGGCCTCTGTGACGGCCTCAGGACCACCTCCCAGTGCCAGCAGACACTGCACAGCCGCCGTGTGGTTCCTCCTCAGCCTCACTTTGACCTCAACACTTCTGGGCTCAAACCCTTCTGTGGCTCAGACTTCCTTACAGGGCGGGCGGGGTCCCCTCCTCATCCTGTGACCCCTTGGAGCCCCCTTGGGTTCCCTGACCACAGCCATCCTTGCCTCGCTGGGCCTGCCCAGGGCACCTGTCTGGCAGTCACTGCTGTGACCCTAACATACGAAAGCGACTTCTCGTTTGGGGGGTCTTCTGCTCCCTGGTCACCTGTGGCCCTGTCCTAAGTTAGTCACACTGCACGTGGCCTGACCCTTCCACCTGACCACAGGGTCCTAGAGGGTATGGCTGTGTCTCAGATGCAAAAGTGCATGAACACACACACATACACGCACACACATGCACACACACGTATGCACACACACATACGCACACGCACGCACACACATGCACGCACACGCACACACATGTATGCACACACATGCGCACACACGCACACACACGTATGCACACACACGCACACACGTATGCACACATGCACACACGCACACTGTATGCACACATACACACACGCACACACGTATGCACACACGCACACACGTATGCACACATACACATGCACACGCACGTGCACACACACGCACACACGTATGCACACAGATACACATACACACATGCACACACGTATGCACACACATACACACGCACACACATGTATGCACACATACACACGCGCGCACACACACGTGCGCACACACGCACACATGTATGCACACATACATGCACACACGTGCACACACGCACACACACGTATGCACACATACATGAGCACACACGTATGCACACACATACACATGCGCACACATGCACACACACGTATGCACACACATACACATACATGGACACACGTGCGCGCACACGCATGCACACACGCGCACACATGCACACACACGTGCACACACATACACACACGCGCGCACATAGTATCTTCCGCATCCACTTGTCAAGCAAGTGCTGGTGGGTGGATGACTTTCTCCCCGGCAGACGGCCTGAGCCACTGGCCTCCATTTGATCTTGGGCTCCCTCCAGCACCAGGGGACGTGGTGGAAGGTTTGGGTCTCGAGGCCCCAGTGCGGCCAGTGTGTTTCCTGCCTCCCATTGCACCCAGAGCCCTCTGGCCCGATGCCGGCTCCATCGGCTTGTCCTGGGGCTGGGATGATGAGTGGAGGACTGGGGGCCTTGCTGGGGGCAGAGGGAGAGCCTTGGGGGTCTGAGGCACTCCTCCCTGCCGACTCTCACAGGCTGGACCGGGCGGACACCCAAGGGCCACACAGCACAGAACCCCACCCTCTCCGGGGCTGAGGCGTCCAACAGTACCAGCCTCCAGCTGCCTCCAGTTAAGGTCCTTGAAGAGGGGGTGGGCACGGAGCTTGTCGCAGGTCTCATCTCTGAACCCCAGGCGCTTCTCCGGGTCCTTCTCCAGCAGCGCCTCGCAGAAGTCCTTGCTGGCCTGGCTGAACTTATCAGGGTACTTCACGGGCTCTGAGATGATCCGGTGCTTCAGCTCCTTGTTCTCCACCTGTGGGGACACGCGTAGCCTTAGCCCTGCCAGACCCGCCTCTCTTGGGTGGTCAGACCAGACCACAGCTCCTCCCACAAGAGCCACCGCTCACCCACGCGGGTGGGGGACCCATGAGGCCTTGTGCCCCTCCCCAGCACAGCAGCGTTTGAGGCTCCAGTCTCAGGAATGGAATCCTAAAGGCGAAGCTCCCAGGAGCCACAGGTGGGTGCCGTGCATTTTGGGGACTCTGGCTGACCCACCCCCAGCACAGCCGCACCCACCAAGGAAGGAAAGATAGGAAACTGAAGGCCAGCGCGGGCCCAGCTGAGAAGCAGCCTCCGTTTTCACTCCACCACGGTGGACGGAAGCCTCGGTGGCTCTGTTGTCTTCAGGAGTGCTGCCAAGGTCTCACTTCCCCATCAGAGGCCCCACCAGTGGGTACAGTGTGAAGGGTGCTGCTCAGTCCCCAAGGCCCCCGGATCAGGCCATTGACGCTACTCCCACGGGTTGCCCTGGCAGCCCACGCCTGTGCCACGTCCCACAGACACAGAGTGACCACGGGCGTGCTAGTGGTCCTGGGACGACTCTGCTCTGAAACCTGTCCTGGCAGGACAGGTCACATGTCCAGGGAAGTCAGAAGGGAGAGGGGTGGGCATCGCCCAGGTGGCATTGAGGGGGCGATGGGTGGCCAGGGAAGAGCCGCACCTCAAGGCAGCCTGATGCAACTCTGAGACGGTGGCCTTCTGGCTCCGTGCGGCCACCCCCTCCGTCCAACGAGAGGCAGCCCCAGCCCTGAGCTCTGAGTCAGCCTCACAGGGAAAAAGCCAGCTTTTCTCCACTTGTCTTGAATAAGGGACTGGCACCTCCCAATGTTATCCCTATTTGCAGTTCTGGTGGCCTAGGATCCGGGGCAGCCCAGGGGGCACTCAGGGGAGACCCAGCAGCCCCACTAGGTGTCCACACTCCGGGACATTCAGAGCAGCTGCTGGGCCCACCATGGGCTGTGGGTTCTTGGTGTCTGGGAAGAAGGGGAGCTTGCTCTTCTGCAACAGCGATGGATAAGACCGTCCAGGGAGGGGGAGCCGACTCCGTGTCCCCCAGAGCCCCAGCCTCAGCCTCGCCAGTCCCCAGGGGATGAAGCTCCACCCCAAACCACAAAAGGTGGTTTGTCCCACTGCCCAGGGTCTGGGGCAACAGTGGGATAAGTCGCCCTCCCTCCTCCGGTCTGCACCAGAGGGACCGGCCCCCACAGGGCCCTCAGAGGCTGAGTGGTGGCGTGCTGTCTGGTGGGAGGGTCTGCTTGCTCTGGGGCACAGGGTGACTGGGAATCCCTCAGCCCCTCCACCTGCAGGCCTCAGGGGCTGGGGGCGTCACCCACTGAGACAGAACAGCATGGCCCAGGAGCAAGACCCCAGCACGTGAATCTGTGCCCTCCCCACCCCAGGGCCCACAGAACAACTCCCAGGTCTGCCCCAGTAACGATCCCATCACTGCCCCGTCCCCATCGAGAGCCAGGGCGCCAAGGTGGCTGCAGAGACACCTGCCGGCCGCCTCCTACCTTCTCTCCACGGGCTCGGAAGGGTCCTCTGGCCGCAATCATCTCATACAGGGTGACCCCCAGGGCAAAGTAGTCCACGGAGAAGTCGTACTCCTCGCCCTGCAGGAGCTCGGGGGCCATGAAACCTGCCAGCAAGGGACATTGCGGGTTCAGAGGTGGTCACCTCCATGGTGGGCACGCACTCCAGGAATCGCAGGACTGATGCTCTGGGGATGCATCCCCCCCGGGGCCTCAGCACTCTCCACATTTGGGGCCAGAAAATCCTTTGTGGAGGGGCTGCCCTGTGTGTTACTGGGTGCCAAGCAGCACCCCAGACTCTGCCTGTGGGGTGACAGCAGCACCCCCAGGCTGTGACAACCAAAAATGACAACCAAAAATGCCCCATGCCCACTCTAGTGCTGGGCACAGGGCGGGACTTGTTGACTGTAGCTGCACTGAGGCAGCCTTCCTGGACTCTTTTACTGGGGAGAATCCAACATCATTCTCTTTTGAATTTTCCTCTTGAGCTGGTCAGATCATGCCAAGGCGGGTCTTCCACATTCTGGGAACCACGTTGGAGAGGAGGCCTGGGGAGCCTCAACCAACGGTCACTCTCCTTTTCCTCAGCTGTCGGCCTGTTCTCCAGTTGTCCGGTGACCCAGGAGTGCTATGGCTGTGTCCTCTCCAGAGAGGTGGTCCGGTCCCAGTCTTCTGCCAAGAAGGCCCTTAACCACAGGACTGTGGCAGGATGGAGGGACGGCTCTGGGCGCAGCCACGGGGACTCAGGATGGAGGGAGGGCTCTGGGCGCAGCCGCAGAGGCTGTCACGGGATGGGGGGATGGCTCTGGGCTCAGCCCCGGGGACTGTCTCGGGATGGAGGGACGGCTCTGGGTGCAGCCGCGGAGACTGCCTCAGGATGGGATGATGGGTCTGGTCTCAGCTGCAGAGACTGTGTCAGGATAGAGGGGCAGGTCTGGGCTCAGCCGCGGGGACTGTCTCGGGATGGAGGGGCGGGTCTGGGCTCAGCTGCGGGGACTGGGGGACTGTCGGGATGGAGGGACGGGTCTGGGTGCAGCCGCAGGGACTGGGGGACTGTGTCGGGATGGAGGGGCGGGTCTGGGCTCAGCCACGGGGACTGGGGGACTGTGTCGGGATGGAGGGACGGGTCTGGGTGCAGCCGCGGGGACTGGGGGACTGCGTCGGGATGGAGGGACGGGTCTGGGTGCAGCCGCGGGGACTGGGGGACTGCGTCGGGATGGAGGGGCGGGTCTGGGCTCAGCCACGGGGACTGGGGGACTGTGTCGGGATGGAGGGACGGGTCTGGGTGCAGCCACGGGGACTGTGTCAGGATGAAGGGACGGGTCTGGGCTCAGCCGTGGGGACTGTCTCCAGATGGAGGGGCGGGTTTGGGCGCAGCCGCGGGGACTGTCTTGGGATGGAGGGATGGGTCTGGGTGCAGCCGCGGGGACTGTCTCCGGATGGAGGGACGGGTCTGGGCGCATCCATGGGGACTGTCTCGGGATGGAAGGACGGGTCTGGGCTCAGCCGTGGCAACTGTCTCGGGATGGAGGGGTGGGTCTGGGCACAGCCGCAGGGACTGTCTCAGATGGAGGGACGGGTCTGGGCACAGCTGTGGGGACCGTCACAGGACAGAGGGCGGAGGGACAGCTCTGTGTGCAGCTGCTCTCATGCAGTCATTCATCTGCCAAGGTCACCTTTGCACGGACACCAGGCACTGGGCACTGACAGTTCTGTGCAGCTTCAGGGCTCTGGCAGCAGCTTAGCATTCTGCTTCCTTGTGTCAGCTGCCGGCTCCCCTCACCCATCATCAGTCTTCCAGCTGCCATGACGCTGCCGCTCACACCCTCCTTTGAGCACGTGGGTTTGTACTTTTAGCGAGATCCCTTCACTGCCCCTGTCCCGGGACTTCAGGAGGGAAAGCAGATCACATGTGTGTCCAGCCATCAGCTCTGTCCACGAGAGTATCTGAGTGGCTGCTTCCCAACACTTTACTAAATTCAAAACACACTTTCCACTCCACGCTCTGTGTTCTGGCTCCGCCAGCGGATCAGGGAGCGATGGAGCCTGGAGCCTCGCTCGCACATCTGTTGGTGTCTTGCTAACGTCAAGGCAGATCTCTAGGCTCAGTGCTTTCACACTCACAAACACCCCTACTCTAGGTTCGTGCCTGGAAGCCACACCAGGCTCACATATGTCTAGTTTGCTGAAGCTGAGTTCTCTGCCTCGTCCCACAGTCTCAGCTCGAGTCCTCAGCACCCTAAAAGGCGCCTCCCTTCACCGCGGCCTGACTCTGAGGCAGCCAAGCACCTCTCGAGCCCTTCCCAACTGCTCCTCACAGAGAAGATGGAATCCAGTGTGGGCTGCAGCCTCCGGGCACCCCCACGCTGCTCAGGCTGGCATGGGGTCCTCTCCTCTCCTCCCACCTCTGGCTAAGGCTTGCCCACCTGCCGGGCCTTGTCCACCTTTTGTGGTTCCCTGCAGACCCCACCAGCCGGGCTGTGCCCTCCCCGGCCCTTCCGCCCTCTCCAGGGCATCCCTCCTTCTTCATAGGGATGAGGTTCGAGGCCACAGCCACACACTGAGGCTTCCCTCTCCTTGTGAGCAAGCTTCCCCTCCAGGGTGGAAACCGCAGATCCCACCTGTCTCGGCTCAGGCACTTCCGTGGTCCAGCCCTGTGCCTGTTCCACGGAGCCGGGGCGTCTCTGAGTGATGGCCACAGACCCTCCGGGCCCCGCTGCAATGCTGCCATGGTGATGAGCACAGCACTTGCTCCAGCCTGCCCTGAGTGCCAGGCACAGCAGTCCACTATACGCCATGAGCTGGCCATGGGTACTCATCACCATGGGTACTCCTCATCGCCATGGGTACTCCTCATCACCATGGGTACTCCTCGCCATGGGTACTCCTCATCGCCATGGGTACTCCTCATCACCATGGGTACTCCTCATCGCCATGGGTACTCCTCGCCATGGGTACTCCTCATCGCCATGGGTACTCCTCATCACCATGGGTACTCCTTGCCATGGGTATTCCTCATCGCCATGGGTACTCCTCATCGCCATGGGTACTCCTCATCGCCATGGGTACTCCTCATCGCCATGGGTACTCCTCGCCATGGGTACTCCTCATCGCCATGGGTACTCCTCATCGCCATGGGTACTCCTCGCCATGGGTATTCCTCATCGCCATGGGTACTCCTCATCGCCATGGGTACTCCTCATCGCCATGGGTACTCCTCATTGCCATGGGTACTCCTCATTGCCATGGGTCCTCATCGCCATGGGTACTCCTCATCGCCATGGGTACTCCTCATCGCCATGGGTACTCCTCATCGCCATGGGTACTCATCGCCATGGGTACTCCTCATCGCCATGGGTCCTCATCACCATGGGTACTCCTCATCGCCATGGGTACTCCTCATCGCCATGGGTACTCCTCATTGCCATGGGTACTCCTCATCGCAATGGGTACTCATCGCCATGGGTACTCCTCATCGCCATGGGTACTCCTCATCGCCATGGGTACTCCTCATCGCCATGGGTCCTCATCGCCATGGGTACTCCTCATCGCCATGGGTACTCCTCATCGCCATGGGTCCTCATCGCCATGGGTACTCCTCATCGCCATGGGTACTCCTCATCGCCATGGGTCCTCATCGCCATGGGTACTCCTCATCGCCATGGGTCCTCATCGCCATGGGTACTCCTCATCGCCATGGGTCCTCATCGCCATGGGTACTCCTCATTGCCATGGGTACTCCTCATTGCCATGGGTCCTCATCGCCATGGGTACTCCTCATTGCCATGGGTACTCATGATGGGGATGTGCAGCAACTTGTCCAAGGCCACAGCCCACACCCCACAGTCCACAGCCCACAGTCCACAGGCTGCTGTCCACAGCCCACGGTCCACAGGCCACAGCCTACAGGCCACAGATCACAGACCACAGGCCACACCTCAAAGCCCACAGTCCACACCCTACAGCCCACAGTCCACAACCCACAACCCAGTCCATAGACCGTGGGCTGCCTCCCTGAGTGCTCCGCCCTCTTGTCTCCAGTGGCGGCAGCCATGAGCTCTGGGCCCTCCCTCCAGATGGCTGCATGCTGACCAAGCAGGGTCCTTGGCAGACGTCTGCTCTGGTGAGTCAGACTCCAGGAGAAGTTCAGACACCTGCCTGGCCCCCGAGCCAGCTCTGTGTGGCACATGGGGCCTGTGTGAGTTATGTCAACTTGCCAGCTGCTACCCAAGTGAGGCCAACCCGGCACACAGTGGCGGACAGGCCCGTTGGGAGACCCATGACGGATGTCCTGGGACCAGGCAGAGAGGCCGCAGGCTGGGGCATGGGGGCTGCTGGGGCTGGTCAGTTTTGACACTTCTGAGTCAAGGTCCTTCCTGGTCCTTCACCGTGCCTGAGGGCCAGGCTGATGTGGCCACAGAATCCTTTTTCCCCAAAAGAGTTGCAGGAACCCTGCCTCACAGAACCACAGGCCCTGAATATGCCCTACTGGTCCAGGATTACACGGACGTCAGAATTCTGCCCAGACTCCGGGGAGGAACTGCTCACACGATCACAGCCTCTAGACCCACCCAGAGCCTTCTCAGCTCCCAGGCCGGGCACGAGCAAGGCCCACCAGACCGCAGGCTCCTGTCAGTTCCTGGGCCAAGGAGCCCCCAGCCCTCCTGGCCTGACCCCCATGATGCAGCCCGGACGGCGCACCTGTTTGTGCCCCAGGCCTCCTGAGGGACCTGCAGCCACGCAGCGGCCAGTAAATATTGACAGAAAGCGTGAGGGAGACAGCTCTACCTGCTCTGTTCACAAATTCTCCCGCCCCTGAACTCAAACTAGGACCGCGCATGACCGGCCCCGCCCTGTGCACGCCCCTGGATCCCGCCCCTGACCTCAAACTAGGGCCGCGCATGACCGGCCCCGCCCTGTGCACGCCCCTGGATCCCGCCCCTGACCTCAAACTAGGGCCGCGCATGACCGGCCCCGCCCTGTGCACGCCCCTGGATCCCGCCCCTGACCTCAAACTAGGGCCGCGCATGACCGGCCCCGCCCTGTGCACGCCCCTGGATCCCGCCCCTGACCTCAAACTAGGGCCGCGCATGACCGGCCCCGCCCTGTGCACGCCCCTGGATCCCGCCCCTGACCTCAAACTACGACCGCGCATGACCGGCCCCGCCCTGTGCACGCCCCTGGATCCCGCCCCTGACCTCAAACTACGACCGCGCATGACCGGCCCCGCCCTGTGCACGCCCCTGGATCCCGCCCCTGACCTCAAACTAGGACCGCGCATAACCGGCCCCGCCCTGTGCACGCCCCTGGATCCCGCCCCTGACCTCAAACTAGGACCGCGCATAACCGGCCCCGCCCTGTGCACGCCCCTGGATCCCGCCCCTGACCTCAAACTAGGACCGCGCATGACCGGCCCCGCCCTGTGCACGCCCCTGGGTCCCGCCCCTGACCTCAAACTAGGACCGCGCATGACCGGCCCCGCCCTGTGCACGCCCCTGGATCCCGCCCCTGACCTCAAACTAGGGCCGCGCATGACCGGCCCCGCCCTGTGCACGCCCCTGGATCCCGCCCCTGAACTCAAACTAGGACCGCGCATGACCGGCCCCGCCCTGTGCACGCCCCTGGATCCCGCCCCTGACCTCAAACTAGGGCCGCGCATGACCGGCCCCGCCCTGTGCACGCCCCTGGATCCCGCCCCTGAACTCAAACTAGGACCGCGCATGACCGGCCCCGCCCTGTGCACGCCCCTGGATCCCGCCCCTGAACTCAAACTAGGGCCGCGCATGAGCGGCCCCGCCCTGTGCACGCCCCTGGATCCCGCCCCTGAACTCAAACTAGGACCGCGCATGACCGGCCCCGCCCTGTGCACGCCCCTGGATCCCGCCCCTGACCTCAAACTAGGGCCGCGCATGACCGGCCCCGCCCTGTGCACGCCCCTGGATCCCGCCCCTGAACTCAAACTAGGACCGCGCATGACCGGCCCCGCCCTGTGCACGCCCCTGGATCCCGCCCCTGACCTCAAACTAGGACCGCGCATGACCGGCCCCGCCCTGTGCACGCCCCTGGGTCCGCACCGCACTGGCAAGGGGGAGTCCCCCGACAGGCTTCTTATGGCTGTGGTGTCTCTCGCTGCGTGGGGGGCGCGTGGGAGGGCGCGAGGGTGCCAGGAAGAAGGATGCGGACCCTGCGGCTTTGCTGAACTGACACCGGCCTCCCAGCCTGCACCCTGACGGCAGCATCTCCAGGTCACTGTGCAGGGGTCACAGCCTGAGCCCAGCCCTGCTGTGAGCACCTGGGGCTCCGAGGAACGGGCGCCGGCGAAGGCTTGGGGCCCCCTGGCGGCCAGTCGGGCCCTCACCCTCGGCCTGGAAGCTGGGCCCTTTCCATCCGTGAGGTTAACTCTTCCAGTCCTGGCCTCGGAGTCCACCTGGATCTCCCCGAAATGCGTGAGGGGGCTTCCACCCACGCGCTCACACCCAGGCTTGGCAAGGGTCCCAAAGACTCGAGGGCCGCAGCGCCAACCGTTTCTACCCACCCAGAAAGAGGCTTGGATCATCTCACGAAAAGCAGGTGCCACCCGAGGCTTCCTTGAGCCATGGGATCCCCCAGGATGAGCTGCCTTCCAGAAAGTTTTGAGACCTTCGACCACTGGCCCTGAGCACTCAGTGGCTACGGAATCCCACATCCAGATGGCAACCCAGCCATGAGGGGTGTGGGCACAGAACTGCCCTTCGTCAGAACTTTGGGGAAACAGTCCTTAGCCCCCACCCCGAGATGCACCTTCCCCTAAGTCCAGCTGGAGCGAGGATGTCCCCCCCGTGGCCACGGCACAAATACGCCCAGTGCCTAAACACCAGCATGGGAGGACCCAAAACACCACCGCACACAAACCCCATCAGGCGACAGCACTGCCTCCCCACAGCCAAAACAACCACGGGGAAGCGACATTCTCTGGAAATCCCAGCAGAAGTGAGCCCGACACGCGGACCCTCAAGACTGCGGAGGAGAGAGGAAGAACTCAAATTCACGGTGTGGCTGCTGTACACAGGCGCCGGGCACGTGGCGTGTGAGGTCTCCTCAGCAAGCCTGTGCACCGAGTGCTAGCAGGAGGCTCGGAGGTTAAGTAAAGCACACAGGCCACACGCCAGCAGGTGCTGGGCCCAGAACACGGACCCCGCTCTGCTTGACTGTGGGGGTCTCCTCTCCTCCACAGGTGCTGCGAGCCTCCCTGCCTGGGGGGAGGTGAGAGGAGATGAGTGACACGGGATGGGGGAGGCAGTAGGATGCACCGTGCATGTGCACTCACATACAGGCACACGGACACACGTGTGCACAGAGACCCGGGCATGCATACACAGGAACACATGCACACAGACACAGGCACACGGATACACATGTGTGCACAAAGATGCAGGCATGCACATACAGGTACACGGACACGTGTGTGCACAGACACGGGCATGCACACACAGGCACACAGACACGTGTGCACAGAGACACAGGCATGGGCACACAGGCACACATGCAGGCACACAGACACACGTGTGTGCACAGAGACACAGGCATGCACACAGGCACACTGTAAAAGGAAAATATCTTGAGACCCAAAATCACTAAAGGAAAGAGTCAAGCTGGGAACTGCTTATGGCAAACCTGCCTCCCATTGTATTCAAAGTCCTCTCAGTGAGCCCTCTGTTCACTGAGATAAATGCTTATCTGATTGCCTCCTCTGGAGAGACTCATCAGAAACTCAAAAGAATGTAACCATTTGTCTCTCATCTTCCTATGACCTGGAAGCCCCCTCCCGCCTTTCCAGACCGAACCAGTGTTCATCTTACATATGCTGATTGATGTCTCATGGCTCCCTAAAATGTGTAAAACCAAACTGTGCGGCGACCACCTGTCATCAGGACCTCCTGAGGCTGCCACGGACTCGCGTCCTCAACCTCAGCAAAATAAACTTTCTAAATTAACTGGTACCTGCCTCAGATATCAGGGTTCACAACACTCACATGCACACAAATGCACAACCACACAGACGCCCATGTGCACACAGACACACCTATATACACAAACTCACATGTATGTGCAAGTGCACACAGGCACACACATGTACACAGGGACGTAACCCATGCACGGAGCCTCCCCAGCTGCGCTCAGACCCTTACCTGGGGTCCCTGCGTAGCCCTTGGTCTTGCTCTGTCCGTCCAGCAGCTCCACGGCCAGCCCAAGGTCAGAGATCCGGACATTGCCTGAGAGGCAGATAGCGGAGTCACCCCTGGCTGCACAGGACAGGCGCCGGGAGCCCAGAGCCACCTTCACACAAACACGTACACACACACCACACACCACACACACCACACAGATCACACCACACACATCACACACCACAGACACCACACCACACACCACGAACACCGCACACCACACATCACACCACACACCATGGACACCACACACACACAGATCACACCACACACACACACTACACACCACACAGATCACACCACACACATCACACACCACAGACACCACACCACACACCACGAACACCGCACACCACACATCACACCACACACCATGGACACCACACACACACACTACACACCACACACACACACTACACACCACACACACACACTACACACCACACACACCACACAGAACAAACCACACACAAACCACAGACACTACACAGATCACGCCACACACCCACACCGTACCACACACAGACACACCACCACACCATACATACCATACCACACATAGACCACACACAGACCATACCATACATACCACACCACACACACACATATCACAGACACACACACACTACACACAGACATACCAGGCAGCCATGAGGCCCCAGCACCCAGAAGCCTCCCCTCTCTAGCCAGACTCACATAGACACACACACTCCACCACCACACCATAAACATATACACACACACCCCCCACACACACACCCCACGACCACACCACAAACATACACACATACCAAACAGCCATAAGGACCACCCAGTGCCCAGGATCCTCCCCTCCCCAGCCAAACTCACAGACACACCACACACAACCCACATGGTCTCAGACACACCACACTCACTGCACACTCACATACCACACACACACCACACCACAAACACACACACCACATTCCACATACCACACACACACAGCACATGTCAACAACCAAAGACTACATACACACCTCACACACACACACCACACAATTTACCACACATACCACGTACCACACCATACAGATACCACACACATACACCACACACAATACCACACATACCACACACACCACACCACAAACACACACACCACATTCCACATACCACACACACAGCACATGTCAACAACCAAAGACTACATACACACCTCACACACACACACACCACACAATTTACCACACATACCACGTACCACACCATACAGATACCACACACATACACCACACACAATACCACACATACCACACACACCACACCACAAACACACACACCACATTCCACATACCACACACACAGCACATGTCAACAACCAAAGACTACATACACACCTCACACACACACACCACACAATTTACCACACATACCATGTACCACACCATACAGATACCACACACATACGCCACACACAATACCACACATACCACACACACCACACCACGAACACACCACATTCCACATACCACACACAATACCACACATACCACGTACCACACCAGATACCACACCATACAGGTACCACACACCACACATACACATACCAAGTGACCACGAGGCCCCAGCACCCCAGTCAGACTTACACACACCGCACACACCACACAATCACACACCACACACTGCACACACATACACACCATATGCCACACACACACCACACACAACACACACACACACCCCACAAACCACATACGCGCACACAGCACACACCACGCACACTGACAGTGGCTCCCTGGCTGACGGTGGAGGGCGCAGGGTGTAGGGAAGAGGGCCGGCCGTGCCACAGCTGAGCGTGAGTGTTGCCCACCGAGATCCTCCCACCTCGGCTCTCGCCCCGCCCCCCACGCACTCTCTCAGGGCCCTGGCACGTGTCTCGCACTTGCCTGACCTGCCGCTGTCGGGAGCCTAAACCCTCGTGTTTATTTCTGAGAAGAATCCCTGTGTGACGCCTCATTCAGGCAGAAGGAAGGTGGGGACTGGGCGTAACAGACTCGCCGTTCCCAGCTGGTTCTGCACCACAGACCCCTGCACTCACTCCTGTGACTCCTGGTGCCCGATGACACCTCCACCGTCCACGAAGCCGTCAGCCCTCATGAACCCCCACCGTCCACACAGCCGTCAGCCCTCGTGAGGTTGTGCAGAGACCCCCAAGGAAGCTGCGCCCCGCCCTCCTCGTAGCCCTCATCCCTCCCAGCCGAGGGCACCTCCTACCGTCATTGTCCAGCAGCACGTTCTCGGGCTTGAGGTCGCGGTAGACGATCCGCCTCTGGTGCAGGTGCTCCAGGCCGCAGATGATCTGCGCCGTGTAGAAGAGGGCGCGCGGCTCCGGGAAGCCAGGGTTCTCCTCATTCACGTTGTAGATGTGGTACCTGGGGGAAGACACGTGGGAACCATGCACCCCGGGTTTAATGGGGAGTAAAATCATGGAAAGACAGAGCTGGGGCCTCAGAACCATGTCTCTCGGCCAGCGTTCTGGTCGTTTTGAGGCCTGGCCCCCCTACGTCCCTGCAGAGGACACCCGAAGGCCATGGTGGCTGGCGGCGTTAGCAGCTCAGGGACCCTGAACCCCAACTGCTAACAGGGAGAAAGTGCTGTCCACGTGCGTCTCCTGTCCGCCTGCTTTCCAGCGCGGGCCGCAGGTGCTAGGAAACAGCCCAGACCGTCTCAGGAAGGGGCCAGGCCGAGGCCGAGGTGGGATGCAGCTCCGCAGGCCCCAAGTTCATCAGACTCATGAAAGATTTGCAGTAAGGTGTTTCTTCTCAGCCTCTTTCCTCCCCCATAGAACATCATCTCTTATGTTTTCCACGGACAGGTTTTGCAGAGAAGCAAAACCTAACAAATAAAAGAAATGATTTAAACAAGAAATAATTTAAACGAGGTGGCACCAGGAGTATCGTCACAGGAAACAGGAGAGGAGGCCCTGGAGCCAGGCGGACCACAAGGCGGCCAGAGCCACCAGGCCCTCCCTGGGCACCCCTGTGACCGCGCTTCCTAGCACCCCTCCCCTCCTCCTGGACAACCCTGTGTGTGCACTTCCCAATGTCCCCTCCCCTCCGCCTGGGCACCCCCGTGTCTGCGTTTCCCAGCGCCCCCTCCCCTCCGCCTGGGCACCCCGTGTCTGCGTTTCCCAGCGCCCCCTCCCCTCCGCCTGGGCACCCCTGTGTCTGCGTTTCCCAGCGCCCCCTCCCCTCCGCCTGGACACCCCTGTGTCTGCGCTTCCCAGTGCCCCCTCCGCGTGGTGACTTAGTCTGGACTCACATTTCTCATCTGAAAAATGGGGCCACCAGCCTCACCTGGAGGAATTTCCTTGGAAATTAAAAGCAGGTGAGAATGGGGCATGGTGCTGCCAGCCACAGCCATGGCCCCTGCCCACTGCTAACCTTACGGGCATCAGACACTGCAGGTATTTCACACGTATTGTCTTAATCTCCGGACAGTCTCTGGACTCAGATATTATCTCTCCCCATTTTACAGACCAGGAAACAGAAGCACGCAGTGGCTAAGCGGCCCAGCTACCAAGCGAGCCTGTGATCTGATCCCCAGCACGGGCCTGGGGCCTGTCTCAGCGGCAGATCCGGGGCAGGACTTTGTGGAGGCAGCGCCACCTCCTCTCTGCCTGGGGACAGCAAGATCACGGCCCCCAGCTGGACTGATCTTGTCTCCAGCTCTAGGGTCAGCCCTAGGAGTGGGCGCTGGTGAAGTTCGTCTTCATTTACCCTCCTGGTGCAAGGCCCTCAGCCCTGCAGAGGCCCCGCCGACTGCATCACACGTCCCCCACAGCACCACGTGCCTCCCACACCCACACCAAGACCACACACAGGACGAGCCCTGATTGTCAGGTTGGGCGCCTCCCAGGCTCCTGCTCCGATGTGGGTCCAGGGTGCATTGTTTCAGGAACCAACAGCGAGAAGGGGATTGTGATGGGTGCAAGGCTTCCCTCGAGGGCAGGCCTGGGGCCACCATGGCTCTGCCTGTGGAAAGGAGCCCGGGCCCTGGAAACCCTGACCCAGTGGGACAGCGGGGCCCCCTCGTGCCCTCTGGCCCAGCCCTTACCTGATGTCACCTCCGTTCATGATGGTCATCACCAGACAGAGGTCGGCTTTGGTTTCAAACGCATAGGCCAGAGACACGATGAACCTGCTGTGTACTTTCATCAGAATCTTCTTCTCCACCATAGCACCCTGAA
The DNA here is from genome assembly GCF_000001405.40 of Homo sapiens. NCBI lineage: Eukaryota > Metazoa > Chordata > Mammalia > Primates > Hominidae > Homo > Homo sapiens. The sequence continues at coordinate 20,504 of NW_021160011.1, read as the reverse complement.
AAGTGAGACGCTGAGTACGCACTGGCTTTGAATAGGAAAGGGACTAGGTGCATCGCAGAGACCGTGTGCACCCGGCCACGCCCACTGCACACAGCCACGGAGCAGTCGCAAACATGCTTTAAATGCGCCTTTCACAAAGCAATTGCAAATGACTTCAAAACATGCCTGCACCCCCATTTCAGAAAACCAGACATGTGAATTCCTTCACATACAGGGGACTTCTGGTCTTCTGGGCCAGCCTCTGGCAAGGGGAGGCTCAAGCCCCAAGGCTGAGCAACATGGGTGAGGACCCTGCCAGCCCCGCCTGCCCAGCAATCCTGCAGCCACAGCCCTCCCTCCTGTCCAGGCCCCCGTGGGCTGGGCTCCCAGACCAGCACCTCCCAAACCCCCTCACCACTCTGCTTCATTTTGTCTTTATTTTGAAACCTCACAATGCTCCATTGAACGAGTTTGTAAGTGTCTGGATAAGGATAGCACATCCCTCTTTGAAGAGGGAATTCCTGATGTCGGAGGCCCCTTTCTGCACTTACATGGGGAGGTGTTCAGTTGATGTCAGTATGGAGTTCAGTTTGGTGACGGAAGTCAGGAAAAGAGGCTGAATGTTGGGTTAAATTTACAGTTAGATGTGAATGGCACGGTGGGGGAATTAGATGTCAAGAAAGCTAATTTTTAAAAATTACTGCTACAACCACACAGCATAGTTACTCGCCCCGAGTTCCACGGCGAGAACACGCAGATGTTCCAGGGCCTCCGCCCAGCGCTGTGAGCACCTGGTATTTCACCTTCACTGAGGGTTGAGGTTCCGCAGAGCCAGGGTGCACAGTGGCTGCTGCTTAACCCTAAGAGCTTCCTGTGCACTCAACACAGCTGCGTGGTGGGAGAGGGGCCAGGAGCCACGTGGAGTCAAAGTGCAGGGGGCTGGCTCAGGAGATCACGTCCACACCCGGCACAGCCGCTGCCCCTCACCCTTAAGACCTGTAAGCAGCTTCTGCTGATCCTGCCCCAGATGCACAGTCTGACGCCAGTGGGCAGAGCGGATGAAACTTAGAGCGGCCTGCGTGCCCGTCGCTCACTCCCACCCCCGAGGACAGCACACTCAGGGGAACAGTTCCTGCCCCCGGCGTCACGCCAGGCTCTGCCTCACAGAAACTGTCATCAGAGCGAGGCTGCCTCCGTCCTGCCTCAGTTCCTCCTGCATTCGCTGCGATCAGAGGAGCCAGGGCCCTGGAAAGTCTTCCACAGTCATGGCAAAGAATCCGGAGACCCTGCCCCTCTTCAGCCTCCCCTGAGAGGTCCTCTTTCCCCCACACTTGAGGCTAGTCTGTGGTTGGTGAAAAACCGACGAGTGAACGTGGCACGTCCCCACCCAAAAATGTGGAGGTCACTCTCCGAGGAGGGACTTCTGCACATGGACTGGAACTGCTCGTAACCGCACGGCCGCGGGGCGCCCACGTGGCGAGGCTGGCATGCATGCTCCCTTAGGCACCAGCTGTTAAGGGCCCCGGAGCCGACAGTGACCTGGGGGCCCTCTGCACCCTGCCGCCCCATCCCTGCACCCTGCCACCCCATCCCTGCTGGCCGGGTCGCGCTGCTCACCTGGTAGCCCTTCCTCTTCTTCAGCCGCTTCTTGTTCAGCTTCTTGCAGGCATACAGCTTGCCGGTCGCCTTCATCTGGCAGGCCGACACCTCCCCGAAGCCCCCTTTCCCTAGGACCCTGAAGTCCAGGAACCAGTCCTCCCCCATGGGCTGGGCTTCCAGCCACTTCCACTGCAGGAACCTCAGGAAGTACAGGCTGCCCAGGTACTCCTGGAAGGGGGCTTGGCCCAGGTGTGCCAGGGTGGCCTGCAGCAGGGGCTGGAAGAGCCCGTCCTGGATCTCCACAGGCCCCTCCTTAAACTTCGCCACTATCCCCTCATCCAGGAAGCTGCAGAAGAGTTTGGCCTGGGGGTCCAGGTACTGGGCCAGGATGGTCTGGGCCTTCTGTGGCTGGAGGTCATTGTCTGCCGTGTCATAGTCCTCGATGTCTTTCCAGAGCTCCAGGGCCGGCAGGTGCTTCTCTGCCGATTGTAGGAACTGCTGAAAGAGCTTCTTGCCGATGGGCTGCTCCAAGCACACACTCTCAAACTCCAGGCTGAGGCTGTCGCGGAGGGACTCACACTTGGACAGCGGGGGCAGCTTGAGCTTGGCCAGGTACTTCTTGTCCCGGGAGGGTTGGGAGCTGCTGCCGTCAAAGCTGCCTCGGGCGGCGATGAAGGCAGAGTTGGCCACCACGGTCTCCAAAGACCCGAAATCCATCCCGGAGCTTCCTGCCCGCTTCAGGCGTGAGGGCCCATCAGCCGAGGCCAAGCCGGGAGCGTTCACAGACAGAGCAGGCCTGACTGCTGCCCTTGGCCTGTGGCCCGTCCCTGCCCTTGCTGGACGAGAGAGACGCCCTGGCCCTGTCGAGGGTTCCTGGGGACCACTGGGAAGCCCCTGGGAGCCCGGGGCTGACACAGCACCAGGCTAAATCCCAGCCGGGGTCACGGAGGACGCTTAGGAGTGGCAAGAAGGTGCTAGAAAAAGACAATCCCCTGAGCTGCTTGGAATCCGATTAGATCATTCTGCCCGGCCCCTTCCTCCAAGGGGCCGCCTCACTTTTCCCCTGAGAAGGACAAACAACCACCAGGCTTCTGGGGCCCCTGGCTGGAGAGGCACTCAAAGCTCTGTTCTGAGCTGCTCCATCCAGCCCCTGGCTTCAGCAGCCAGGCTCAAGCCTGCTGTTTCCTTGGGATGTGGGCCTGACGGAGAGGATGGAGCCGGAAGAAACCGTAATTTACAAAGGCTGTTTTTCCCTATTTTTATTTTTAAGAAAATAGCAAATGAGAAAGAAAACCACCTGATAATAGGAATTTAGAGAGGAAAAGAAGCCCACAGTGACCAGCTTCCTGGGGGTCTGTAGGTGAGACCACCAGCGCTTACTGAGGGGTCAGTTCCCAGTCATTTGTCTTCTTCTCACCTGGGGTTTGCAGGCAAGGCAGGATTGTCAAGAGGCAGTTGCTGGTGACACCAGGACCAGGGAGCAGAAGATCCCCGGAGCTACATCAAACCAAGGCCCCACTCAGAGGGACGCATATGGAATACAGCTGGGGCTCACCTGGGACACACCTGGAATCCACCTGAGAAACACCTGGGGTACACCTGGGGCACATCTGGGACACACCTGGGACAGCTGGGACACACCTGGGGAACACCTGGGACACACCTGGGACAGCTGGGACAGCTGGGGAACACCTGCAACATACCTGGGGCACACCTGAGACCTGGGACAGCTGGGACAGCTGGTGAACACCTGGAACACACCTGGGGCACACCTGAGACCTGGGACAGCTGGGACAGCTGGGGAACACCTGGAACACACCTGGGGCACACCTGAGACACACTTGGGACAGCTGGGACACACCTGGGGTACATCTTGGACACACCTGGGACAGCGGGGGCACACCTGGGGCACACCTGAGACACTTGAAATGCAGCTGGGGAACACTTGGGACCCACCTGAGACACACCGGGGGCACATCTGGGGCACACCTGAGACACACCTGAGATACAGCTGGTGCACATGTAGGACACACCTGGGAGAGCTGAGGCACACCTGGGATATGCCTGGGGCACACCTGAGACACCTGAGACAGCTGGGGCACACCTGGGACACACCTGGGATGCACCTGGGGCACACCTGGGACACACCTGGGATGCACTGGGGGGCACACCTGAGACACCTGAAATGCAGCTGGGGCACTTGAGACCCACCTGAGACACACCTGGGGCACATCTTGGACACACCTGGGACAGCTTGGGCACACCTGAGACACCTGAAATGCAGTTGGGGAACACTTGGGACCCATCTGAGACACACCTGGGGCACACCTGGGATACAGCTGGTGCACACGTAGGACACACCTGGGACAGCTGGGGCACACCTGGGATATGCCTGGGGCACACCTGAGACAGCTGAGGCACACCTAGGACACACACCTGGGGCACAGCTGGGACACACTGGAGACAGCTGGGGCACACCTGGGACAGCTGGGGCACACCTGGGACAGCTGGGGCACATCTGAGACACACCTGGGATGCACCTGAGACACACCTAAGACAGCTGAGGCACACCTGGGATACAGCTGGGGCACACCTGAGACACACCTGGGACAGCTGGTACACACTTGGAGCACACATGGAATGCAACTGGGGCACACCTGCAATGCAGCTGTGACACACCTGGGACAGCTGGGGCACATCTGAGACAGCTGGGGCACACCTGGGACAGCTGGGGCATACCTCGGACACACCTGCAACACACCTGGGACACACCTGGGGATGGTCACACCAATAGGATTGTCAGCTTCATGAGGGCATGGCCCTGCCTGTCTTATTCCAGCACACAGTAGGTACTCAATAAAGGTTTGGAGAAGAATGAGGAGGAATTCAGCAGGGGATTGGTTCCAGCTCACACAGGGAGGAAGCAAAGGGTCGCAGAAAGGAAGAATGCCGGAGCATAGAGAGGTGGAGACTGTCAGCCCACCCCATTCCACGTGGGAGAAGAGGCAACTGTGGGAGGGCACTGGGGGCTGCACCTGGCAGGGTCTACAGAGGCCGAAGCGAGGGCCCGCAGACCGAGCCGACGTCCCCACGGTCTCCTGAGGGCTTTGGCAGGTGGATCACGAGTAAATATTTGAGGTGAGTGATATCCCATCGTTCACCAGGAGCCCTGCACGGGCCCAGCCCTGCCCTTCACAGCAGTGACCTTGGGCGGATCACGTTAACTCCTTCCTGCCTGCTCACCCAATGGGGCAACTGTGGTGCTTTGTGAAGTGTAGCCGTCTCTGCTGACGTCTCGCTGCCTGTCCTGGTTCATGCCTCAAACAGCTACACACATGAATCGCCCGGAGACCTTGCTGGAATAAAGAGTCTGCTTCAGTGGCCAGGTGGGCCAAGACTGCACCTGTAACAAGCTCACAGGTGGTGCTGATGCTGTGGAGGCGTAGGGTCTGAGGAGGATGGCTTCCTGTTGGACTGGGGGCCGTTCCACCTGCAGTCATGTTGGGAAGCGTTCGGTTAAATAAAGTTAAATATGTTAAACAAGCAAAGTTAAAAATATGTGAAACGTGTCCATCACAGGGTTTATTCAGTGATTTCAGAGTGAACGTGTCTCTCAAAGAGAAGTAAAGTATGTCGTTTCCCAAATTCATTTGGCCCTGAAAATCCCTTTTTAATTAAACTCTTTATTCTGTGATAATTGTGGATTTACATGCCATGTTAAGAAACAATCCAGAGAGATCCTGTGTACCCTTAACTCTGTCTCCTGTAATGATGACATCTTGCCAAGTAGCGAGGATATTGGCATCCATATGGCTGAGACAGAGGCCGCCTCCATCCACGGGACCCTCCTGTGCTGCTCACAGATGCACCGAAGTTCCCCCAGCCCGCCCTGCTCAATGCCCGGCAACCACGACTTCTCTAAGCACGTCACATGAATGGAGTCAGACACTATGTAGCCTTTCAGGACCTGCATTTCTCACTCAGCACTGTTCCCAGGTGTCAGCCATTCCCTCCTCGTCTCTGTGGTGTGCTCCACAGAGGAGAGTGCCACAGTCCGTTTCGCCGTTCACCGGTTGAAGGACGGCTGGATCGTTTCCAGTGTTTAGCTATAAAGCTGCTATAAACATCTGTGTAGGCCTTTGTGTGAATAGAAGTTTCTATTTCTCTGGGGTAAATGCCTAAAAGTGTCGTAATTGCACGTTTAGTTTTGAAGAAACCGGCAAGCTGTTTTCTGGAGTGGCCGTGCCATTTTACATTCCCACCAGCGATGGTGAGCAGATTCTTCCTCAGGATCCTCCCCAGAGTTTAGCGCTGCCACAGTCTTGTTTTGGCCCTCCTGGTAGGTGTGGAGTATTCCCTTACGGTTGTAATTTACATTTCCCTAATGGTGGAAGAACACCTTTCCATGTGTGCATTGCCATCTGTGCGTGCTCTTGGGTGAAATGTCTCTTCACATCTTTTGACCATGTAACAACTGGATTGTTTGCTTTCCTGTCATGAGTTTTGAGATTCTATCAATATCAGATAGCAGTCCTTTGTCAGACATGCGGTTTTCGAATATCCTCTCCCAGTGATAGCTTCTCTTTGCCTCCTTTCTATATGGGCTTTCATAGAGCAGAAGTTTTAAATTTTGTTGAATATAAATATTATAGATTGTGCTTTTGGTGTTGTCCAGCCCCAGATCTTGAAGATTTTCTCCCATATTTTTCCTAAAAGTTTTATAGTTTTACAATTTACATTTACGTTCATATCCACTTTGGGTTACTTTTTATAGAAGGTTTAAGAGGTTGAAGGTCTTTTTCCTCCCCCTTTGGCCAATGGATATCCAATAGCTCCAGCACTGTTTGTTGAAAAGGTTATTTTTGCTTCATTGAATTCCTTTTGCGCCTTTGTCAGAAATCAGTTGCACATATTGTGTGGGTCCACCTCTGGATTTTCTCTTCTGTTCCATTGATCTATGTGTCTCCCTCTGACCATACCATACAATCTTGATCACCACAGCTACATAATAAGCTTTGAAATTGGGTAGACTGAGTCCTCCCATTTTATTCTTGTTTTTCAAAAAAAATTTCAAAAAATGTTTAAAAAACCCTATGTTCAAAATATGCAAGAAAATATTTACTTATTCTAGTTCCTTTGCTTTTCTATATAAATTTTAGAATAATCTTGTATATATCTACCAAAAACATTGTGTCTGGATTTTGATAGGAATTATGTTGCACCCTATATCAATTTGGGGAGATTGATCTCTTTGTTATGTTGAGTCTTCCACACTACAAACATAGTGTGTGTCTCCATTTATTCAAACTCTAATTTCTTTCATCAATATTACATGGGTTTCAGCATGCAAGTCCTGTACATGTTTTGTTATTAACACCTAAATATTCCTCTTGGTGTTGAGCAATCATAAATGGTATTGTGTTTTTAATTTTGGTATCCATATGCCTATTGCTAGTATATAGATGTACAGTGGATTTTTGCACCTTCATCTCATATCCTGAGACCTTGCTAAACTCACTTAACAGCTGTAGGAGTTTTGTTATGGATTCTTTGAGATTTTCTACATAAGCATTCATGTTATCTGCAAATAAGGACAGTTTTATTTCTTCCTTTCTGATATTCATGCTTTTTATTTCCTCTTCTTGTTCATTGCTCTAGCTAGAACTTCCAGTACAATGTTGGATAAAAATGAGGGGCTTGTTCCCGGTCTTGGGGTAAAAAACGTTTCATCTTTCACCATTGGGCATACTGTTAGCTGTGGGTTTTTTGTCAATGCTTTTAATCAAGTTGAACAGGCTTCCTTCTACTCTTGGTTTGCTGAGAGCTTTTGTCACATGGAAGCTGAATTTCATCAAATGCTTTTTCTTTGCTGATTGATATGATTGTGTGGTTTTTCTTCAGCCTGTTAATGTGGTGGATCACACTGATTGGGTTTTGAATACTGAACCAGCCTTGCATTCCTGGAATACATCCCGCTTGGTCATGGCATTTGCTTTTTATACTTTGTTGGATTCAACTTACCAAATTTTATTTATGGTTTTTGCATCTATATTCATGAGGGATATTGATCTGTAGTTCTCTTTTTTGAACTATCCTTGTCTGATTTTGTTATAAAGGTAACACTGGTCTTATAAGATGAGTTGGAAAATATTTCCTCTTCTTCTATTTTCCAAAAGATGGTGAAGAATTGGTGTTCTCTATTAAGTGTTTGGTAGAATTGTCCCATGAAATCATCTGGGCCTAGAGGTTTCTTTATTGGGAGATTTTAAATTATTAATTCAGTTTCCTTAATAGTTATAGGCTATTTACATTATCTATTTGAAGTCGGGTGAGTTGTGATTTTTGATGAAGCAGCCCATTATCTAAGTTGTAAAGTTTATGTATGTAGAATTGCGCAAGTATTTCCTTCCTTATCTTTTTGATGTTTGCAGGGTCTGTAGTGATAGCTCCTATTTTATTCCTGCTATCAGTTATCTCAGCCTTCTCTCTAGCTACAGGTTTATTAATTTTATTTACATTTTCAAAGAACTAGTCCTTTCTATTGCTTTTGCATTTTCAAGTTCATTGGTTTCTGCTCTTATCTTTTAATTTCTTCCTTCTGCTTGTTTTTGTTGCTGCTGTTGTTTGCTTGCTTGCTTTTGCTTTGTTTTACTTGCTTTTCTTTTTCTACATTTGTGAGATGAGAGCTTAGGGTTTTTGAGACTTGTCCTCTTTTCTAAAATATGCATTTTTAGTGCTATAAATTTTCCTCTTAATACTGCTTTAGCTATGTCCCTTGAGTTCTTATATGGTGTATTTTTTCTTCATTCAGTTCCATGTATTTTTAAATTTCCCTTGAAACTTCCTTTTTGACTCATGAGTATTAGAAGTATGTTGTTCAGGTTTCATATTTGGAGGTTTTTCTGTTATCTTTGTTATTAATATCTAATTTGATTCCATTGTGATTGGAGAACATACTCTGTATGATTTGAATTCTTTAAATTTGCTAAGACTTCCTTTATGGCCCAAGATACAGCTTATCTTGATATATATTTCATGGGGACTTAAAGAGAATGTGTATTCTCTGTTGAGTATTCTGCGAATGTCAATGACATCCTGTTGGTTGATGATGTTGAGTTCTTCCGTATCCATGCTAATTTTCTATTTGGTTGTTCTATCAATTGTTAAGAGAGGAGTGTTGAGATCTCCAACTATAATTGTGGATGTGTTTATGTCTACTTTTAGTTCTATCAGTTTGCTTTCCATATTTTGCAGCTTTCTAGTTTTTCATTTGTTTCAGGCTTGTTTGTAATTGCTATTCAAGCATTTTTATCATGGCTGCTTTAAAATTTTTGGCAGCTAATCCTAACATCTCTGTCACCTTGGTGTTGGCATATATTGTCTTTTTAAATTCATTTTTAGAATTTTTTAATTTTTTAGCAGAGATGCCCAGGCTGGTCTGGAACTCCTGGTCTAAAACGATCCTCTCAGTCCAGCCTCCCAAAGCTCTGGGATAACAGGCATGAGCCAAAACACCCAGCTTTGTATTAATTCATCTTAAAATCGTCCTCGTTCTTTGTGTGATGAGTGGTTATCTACTGAAACCCAGACGTTTTCATATTATTTAATCCTTCTCTTTTTACTGGCTTTCTCTGACCCCACTTCAGCAGCAAAAGGGAGAGGCTTCACCTTGTTAACACCATGTGGGGCCAGAAGTCTAGGTTTCCCACTGGGAACCTTTGGGTGGGCTCCTGAGGACTGTTGGGTGGGTGGGTAGCAGTCCTGGCTTTCCATATGGTCTCCACTGACACCACAGTGGGAGGTGGCCTTGTCACTGTGTGGTGGTCACAGTCCTAACTTTCTACTACGTTGTGTCTGACACCACTCAGATGGGGGGAGAGAGGGGTGACCGGTGGCTGCCAGATGTGGGTGGGATTCTGGGCCCCCCTCATTGTCTGGCACCCAATTTGTATAGAGCACCTAGTTCTATGTTTTCAGAGCATGCTGTGGGGAAACTGCCCTCTACCAAGGTCTCTGGCCCTCCTCCCCACACGTATGTGTCCAGAAGAAGGTCATTCTGATAACATGTGTACAGCTCAGCACATGTACCTGCTTCTGGAAATTCAGAGACTACATTAGGAAGACTAAATTCAAAGATGTTTAGAAATAATTCATACTTTGTTCATTTCAAGAGCATCTATACCCTTCACAGACAACAGTTGCTGCATCCAGGTGTTGTCAGACCCCTGGCACTCTGGGGTCCCAGGGCCACAGTCTGTGAACAATCAGACTGTGGCCTTTACTGCCAGACCCTGTGTTCTTATCGCCCTAACATTCCAAAGTCAGAAATGGGTACAATGTTAAAGGAAGGATAGGTCCATTAAGAAATTATGGCTGGGCGCAGGGGCTCACGCTTGTAATCCTAACACTTTGGGAGGCCGAGGTGGGAGGATCCCTTGAACTCAGGAGTTCTAAACCAGTCTGGGCAACATAGGGAGACCCCATCTCTACAAAAAAATAAAAGAAATAAAAATTAGAAATTAAAAAAAAGAAAAGAAATGATAGGAATCCAGGCTAAAATGACATCATTCCATTTGAATTTTAGGGCAATTATTTTGCAAACTCTAAATTATCCTAAAAAATTAAAGCAGCGTAATGCCTAGAGGAATTTTGTTTCTTCTAAGAAATGAATTTGGTTACACGGGTCCCTGAGAGGGACGGCCTAGAGTTGACAGTATGGGAAACTCTGCATGTAATTCTGGACACACAGGGCTAGTCGACTTCGAATCATATTTGTCAGAAGGCCCCTGAGCACATTTCATTTGCCCTGCATTCCCATCAACCTCCTGCAGAGATGGGCACTGCAGCCAGCAGGCAGCAATGGCATCTGCCATCCAGGACCCCTGTCTCCAACAGCAAAGCGTCTGAGCCGGGGTTCTGAAGTGCGCCGCCCAACAAGACTGCCTGGGAGCCCTCCACGTCCTGGTGCTCGGACCCATGGGCGAGAGGCTCAGGCAGAATCTCCGGGCGGAAGTGGGCAGTGATGACTTCATGGTCCCTGCCCCGGCCCTGTGACCCCAGTGCACTGCCCGGACCCCCGGTGACCCCGAGGTACTGCCCAGGCTGAGCATCCCCCACCTGGACCCTGCCTTACTCCCTCCCACCAGCACTGTTAGAAATGCAGTCTGGGGCCCCCACAGGACTCGCTGGGCTGAATCTGCATTCAACAGATGCTCAGGGCTCCTGTGCACTTCATTTTGAGGACCACTAGATTTAGGGGTTTGTGTTTATGAATTCCTCCATGGACACAAAAAAATCCTAAAGGGCCCTCGGTGCCACTGCCCTCTGGGGATCTAAGAGGCTATTGCTGCTCTGGGTGAATCTGGGAGGCAGAGGAGTCCCCGGGGACCCCTGTGTTCCCTGCCAACCCAGCTCCAGCTGCCAGGCTCACCCTTCCACTGGGTGACCCAGAATCGGGGCGGCCGCAGCGGGGGGCCCAGGGAGCCGGTCGCCCCTCACTCGCCTGCCTCACGCCCTCCCAGGCCAGGGATGCGGCCCCAGCTGGCTCAGCCCAAGGTCGTGGACACAGTGGGTCCAGGCCGGCTCTGCTCTGACCTCAATCTCCCTCCTGAAGGAGAGGAGGGAAGGGGAAGGGCCTGTGAGTGCTGCTCACCCCGGAACGTGCCCTCACCGCAATCAGAGCAGACAAAGCTGCAGCCAAGGGCGTCCCAAGAGCAGCAGGGTGAGGAAAGCGGGCCTGGCCCGCCCCAGGGGCAACAGCCGGGCTGCACCCAGCCCCTGGTGTTTGGTGAGGCGATGGCCGGCGCTGATAAACGGCCCTGGCCTCTCCCTGGGATCCTTCGCCTGCGATGCCTTTGACCTCTGGCAGAGGAAACTATAAAGCCCAGAGGTGGGCATCTGGCCTCAGTCTGGGCGTAGAGGGTGCAGGGAGCAGACGGGAGGATCTCAGGCCAGGGACGATGGCGGCTCTGCAGGAGAAGAAGACGTGTGGCCAGCGCATGGAGGAGTTCCAGCGTTACTGCTGGAACCCGGACACGGGGCAGATGCTGGGCCGCACCCTGTCCCGGTGGGGTACGTGCGGGGGGCGGGCCGGCTGGGTGCATGGAGGGGGCCGCTCTGAGGACGCAGCCTCCAGGTGAGCTCAGGAGGAGGGGAGCAGAGGGCCCCTGACAGTGAGACCCCGATGCTGCCTGGATGGCGTGGACGGGCTTCGGCCAGGGCCTCACTTGCCTCCCAGGGAAAGCGAGGGTCCCCAGAGCATCCTGAAGGCTGAGTTGACCTGGAGCCCCAGCTGCAGAACGCCGGTGGAGGGCGTCCACAGACTGGCCCCAAATGTCAGCCGTATGTCTGAGAACAGCATTTTAAAAGTATGTTTCTAAAGTGAATCATTTTGAAAATAACGTGAAAGGTGGCAACGGTGATTCCTTGGTCACACAGATTCACGCAATGACCTGAATAAGGGGCTCTGCCGAGACGCGGCTGCCAGCCCCTTTCCGGGACACCCGCTGGCGTCCAGATGCGGAGGTGGGGAGTAAACCAGGCCTGCCTCAGCCTGCAGCACCTGCGCCTTGTGCGAGGTCTGCCCTGCAGGGTCCTGTCCCCGTGGCTGCACAGAGGCGCGGGCAGCCTGGCCCTCCTGGGAGGAAAGCAGATGCCTGGGCCTCCAAGGCCACACAGGTGGTGGAAGCGTCTGCGTCTACATCAGGGCTGCCACACCCGTTCCGGGAAACGCCCTCACCCCTTATGAGAGAGTCTGGAGGAAGCACCTGTGCGCCCCCACCTCCCCCTGCGACCCCTGGGCGTCGGGATGCGGCTGAACTGGCTGGCCTGGTGCCGTCCCCGGCTCCCAGGGAAGGTCAGGCCCTCCTCAATTCCCACGGTGCCCGGCTCTGGGGGTCCCAGAGCCGAGGTGGGAATGCAAAGCCCCAGGCCCGCCCCACCTGTGTGTGTAGCTGAGACGTGCTGGGAATGCCCGTGACACGCTGCCAAATCCCCCACACTCACCACAGTGCTGGTGAAGGCTGCAGCCCCCGCTGGAGGCTCCACGGTCTCAAAGGGCACCAGAGCCAGCTGGAGTCATGGGCGCATTTGAAGTAGAACAAATACCCCGTTCCTAGAGAGGCAGGGACCGGGGGCAGAAGGGCCTCCTGGGCCAGGCGGGGCGGCAGAGCGGGAGGCCAGGATGGGGAAGGAGCTGAGGGCGGGGGCTGGGCTGGGGGCTGCCGGCCAGGTCCTTGGAAGCCCCATCTTTTGGGCCATTCTAGATGCTGAGACTCCCATGTGCCGCCTCCTGGCTGCAGGGCCACAGAGAACCTTCTGGAATGGTCTCACTGCCTGGCCGGTAGACATGGCCTCCGTTTGGGATAAGAAAGTCTTAGGGCCCCAGGAAAACACAACTCAAGTGAAATGACAAAAACAAAAGGAATAGGACACGTTATTCTTACTAATTGGGGGACGGGTGCAGGTGCAGGAGAGGCAGAGTGAGCTGCACCCGGCCGGCCCCAGGAGCTGGCGGGAATGGGACTCTCAGTCACCTCCCAACCCCTCCCCTGTGCACTGCAGCGTGCCCTGAACACCGTGGTGCAAGCGGGGGCCCAGGAAGTGCAGGGAGCATGGCCCTCCCGAGCCTGGGCCCAGCCTGGCCAACCTCGGGCTCCTACCCGGGAGGCAGGGCTGAGCCGCCTGGTGGAGCTGAGACTCGCCACAGAGTGGGTCAGCAGCCACTGGGGAGACACGCACCGCCCACATCTCCACTGTGCACCACGGGCCCCAGAGCAGACCCACAGGACCCACAGCGGGGGAACAGAGACCCCTGCCGTCACGAGCGTAGGTCCCCGGGGGACAGGCGGCCAAGTCAAATAGAAGCCACATCAGGAGTGACCTGGGGACACTGAGGCAGGACCTGCAGGGCCAGCACCAGGGAGGCACCAGGCGTGATCCAGTGACAGGACAGAAACCCTCCACCACTGCGGGCCCCACACTGCTGAAGCTGGAAACTCAAAACCGGAGGCTGAAGCCAAGCTGCTGTGGCCACACAAGAACGCCGTCACCAGGGACGCCCGGCGGGGAAAGGAGGGACTCAAAGTGGATGCCAGGTGAGCAAGACCCAGCCCTGAGCCCAGCTGGTGCTGAAGGGACCTGGCTCAGAGATCTGTGCTGTCCCAGCTCACAGAAGAGGGCAGGCAGTCCACAGGCCACAGCCTCTCATCACAGCTCAGGGCTCTGGCCTCTTGGCCCTGCACTCCCTTGCTTCTCTGACTTGGTCCTGCCCTTTGGTTGTGTTTTGGGTCACTGGAGAACGGCTCACTAAGCAGAATCCATGCCACATCAGCGGAGAGGAGGAGCAGGAGGCCCAGTTCATTACAGACTTTCCAGAAAGACAAAAGCCGTAGCAAACACAAAACCGTCCTCTTCCTGCCGGTGTCTCCCTGCAAATGCCTCCTGCGATCCACACAAGCTAATTTACAGAGACGAAGACAGCACACAGGCAGTCGCCTGTGTCCAGGAGCCGCCCATGGCCACGGGGACGGTGGCTTCCGTTAGGTTCTGACGCTGCAGGGGAAGCTCACAGGAGGGTCTCAGAAGCAGATGAGATGAAGCTGCACCCTGAGTTGCCGGTGCCTATGGACACCCTTGCTTCTGAGAAGAGCCATCTCCAGGGCTTCCCTTCCTCCCTTTCTCTTCCTGATGTCTTTGTGGAAGCAGGACCGGCCATGCACTTCCAGGCTGCACTATGGGTCACCATGGGCAGGACCCCACCTCTCTGCCTCAGTTTCCCTTCCTGTGATGGGGGAACCATAACTCCCCCCTCAGAGGGCCCTCGGTTCCTGCTGGAGCTGGGGTGGTGGCGCATCCTCGGCCACATCTCAAACAGCGGCTGGAGTGAAGGCAGCTGGGTGCAACTGCCTCGGGTCGCAGGATTCTGCCTATGTGGACGTCCAGACGGGCAAACCCAGAGGCAGAACGTGGCCGGTGGTGCGGCGCTGGGAGGGGATTGTAGTGACTGTTTGTGGGGACGGGGTTTCTGTTTTGGGGGAGGAGAATGTTCTGGAACTAGGTAGGGAAGATGGTCACGCCACATCACGGACGCGCTCAAGGCCACCGAATTGTGTGCGTTAAAATGGCTGACGTGGTAAATTTTGTGCCTGCCTTGTGTCGCAGTGTGGATCAGCCTGTACTACGTGGCCTTCTACGTGGTGATGACTGGGCTCTTCGCCCTGTGCCTCTATGTGCTGATGCAGACAGTGGACCCGTACACACCGGACTACCAAGACCAGCTACGGTCACCAGGTAAGCGCCCGGGATGTTGCCCCCATGCCGTGTGACAGGCCAGGCTGCCGCCTCCTCGGCTCTGGAGACGCCCGGGGGACCCGTGCCCTCCCCAGAAATGAAGCCCAGGGAAGCCAGCCCGGCAGCCCCAGGGTGAGCCACACACCCCAGCAGGTGCCCCCGAGGGCAGCCCCTGGCCCCTGAACCGGCTTTAAGAGCAGCACCAAGGCATAAGCGGCCCCTTAGTTTCTTTCCATGAGGAAAATGACTCCAAATTATAAAATCTGACTTTGGCTTTAGTTTTAATTATGAAACAGAAGGGTTTTGTTATAGAGACAAAGTTTTTCCATCCACTTACTTCCTGTGCTTGGATATGCACACGGAATGTTTCTGCAAGGACGCACAGGAAACAGTTTCCAAGGAGCACACCCGGGAGACCAGCAGAAAAGAGCCCGCTGGTCACCTACACATCAGCAGGGTGCAAGGACAGAGGAACAGGCATCCGAGTCGTCAGAGGCCACAGGACAGACGTCCCCATCGGTGTGCAGAGCAAGTGCAGAACCTCCTTTTCCCTCAGACCCTGCTGAAGGTTTTTATTTTAAACCACGTATAGATTTTACTCTTAACAAAATCCACTAAACAGCAACACCTAGCCTCAAATGTAAAGCCAGCTGCATCCATAGGGGACCAACTAAGCAAACTGCAGGCTTCACACAATGAAACCACATTTATGGAAAGAATGAGGTGAGTTGACACAAAATGACAGAAAAAGAGGCTCCCAATCGCACGGGAAGTGGAAGTGTGTGGCCACTGGGAAGCCAGTGGTGTGTGGATGGCGGGCTGTTCCTAAGGACCTGCAGTAAACACACGTTTCTGCATCTGTGTTTCCACAGAAACAGGAAAGTGTGCAAAGGATGCACATTTGACGGTTCACATCGGGAAAGTCGACGGCTCTGCGTTTCACTCCCCGCTGTGTGCATCCTGATGTTCAGTTTTACAGTTAACATGTTGTTAGACTGCTTTTGTTCTTAACCAAAACCAGTGAAGATTTTTTTTAATGCATGTTCAAATGCAATTTTACATAGAAACCCAGGTGCAGCCTCTGGATTAGTCATCACCTGTCACAGAGCAGGCACCCGGTGGAGAGAGCCAGCCACCCCCCACCCCCCACCATGGCAGCCAGCCAGGTTCCAGGGCCGGGGCAACTCCCAGCAGGGACCCAGGCTGCATTCTGACTGTGCTGTCCTGGGGGTCCTTCCTTCCTGTGCTGCAGACAGTTTACTCCGAGGAGGCTCCTGGGTTGGGCCACCGCCTCTGGCGTATCCTCAGCCACTTCAGAACTGATGGCTTAAATGTGGTGAGCATTTGGAGACGCTAAGCACAAAGGTCTCTCTCTCCAGGGGTAACCTTAAGGCCGGATGTTTACGGGGAGAAAGGCCTGGAAATTGTCTACAACGTCTCTGATAACAGAACCTGGGCAGACCTCACACAGACTCTCCACGCCTTCCTAGCAGGTGAGGTGTGAAACGGCAGGTGAGGTGTGAAGCGGCGGGTGGGTGAGGTGTGAAGCGGCGGGTGGGTGAGGTGTGAAGCGGCGGGTGGGTGAGGTGTGAAGCAGCAGGTGAGGTGTGAAACGGCTCCACAGCTTCGGCCTTTTCTATTTCATGAGAAACTCGCACTCAGGGCTTGCAAGGCCTTCCCGGGGGGCAGCCAGGCGTCAGGGCCAGGGCAGGACAGGGCTGGCAGGTGCGTCCGTCTGCAGGCTACTCTCCAGCAGCCCAGGAGGACAGCATCAACTGCACCTCCGAGCAGTACTTCTTCCAGGAGAGTTTCCGCGCTCCCAACCACACCAAGTTCTCCTGCAAGTTCACGGCAGATATGCTGCAGAACTGCTCAGGCCTGGCGGATCCCAACTTCGGCTTTGAAGAAGGAAAGCCATGTTTTATTATTAAAATGAACAGGGTGAGTACTGAGGGTCTCCTTCACACGCCACTACAACAGTGCAGTCAGGGCCTCTCACCCACACCCACCACGAGGAGCACAGGTGTCCTGTCTGGGGCTTGCCCAAGCGGGACAGGGACTCCAGCCTCACCACCCTGTACCTTGGTTTGGCACGCACCTGTCCCGTGTGGTTCTTAGATACAAATTTGAAACCACTCGTCAGACACCAGCACATAGCCGGCCCTCTAAAACATGTGGAAACATTTGAACAGGGGTCTCTGCAAGGCCAGGGCCCCCTTCAGGGCAGCCAGAGATGCCAGGGCCAGGTAAAGGGGCCTCAAGTTCTGGAGTCAGGATTGGGAGGGGTTTAGCACCTTCTAAAGCAGAGGCTTCCAACCTGGGACCAGGGGCCCCTTAGGGGGTGTGGGGAGGTGATCCCTGAGCCAGGCTCGAGCAGGGCAGGTCCTGGCCAAGCAGAGGGCTTGGGGCCACCACTCCATGGACCAATCAGCAGCTCTGTGCTGGGCCTCCGGGCAGCTGTGCTGTTCCTTTTCCACTTAAGAGGCTGCAGGCTTGTGCCCTCTACACCTCACGGGTCCCCGTCAGCCAGGGTCTCAGCACTGCCGGCATGGAGGGGCTGTGACGGGGGTCCCAGCAGGGCGTGGTGGCCACTGTGCCCGTCTCATGGCAGCTGCCACCCTCGGAGCACAGCAGGGGATGGCTGGGGCTGGAGAAGCCCAGGGAAGAGGTGTGGGGAAGGGGGCTGAAGGCCCGGGTGGGCCAGAGAGAGTTTTCTGGAAGAGCTGTGCAGAGCAGGAGGCAGGCCGGCCCGTGCTCTGTCTCAGTGCTCCACCGGACCTGGACATGGTTCGAGGGCTAAGACCACCCCGCCCCAGCTCTGCCTCCTGCCAGCCGCCTCCTGAAGCCTGGGCCAAGTGGCTTGCTGATGGGTGGGTGGGGGGAGGGCTGTGGCTCTGAATGATGAGTTAGTGACACCTATGGGGATTCCTCCAAGGGAAGCCGCAAACCAGACCAAGGGCCCTTCTCAGTCCTGGTCAGAAAGCCCAGGCTGGGGCCGGCCAGATCTCAGCTCCATGGGTGGGTGCCGTGCACCTCACATGGCGGTGGGGGTGGGGAGCGGCCACGCTCAAGCTTTTCCCTTCTAGATCGTCAAGTTCCTCCCCAGCAACGGCTCGGCCCCCAGAGTGGACTGCGCCTTCCTGGTGAGTACGGCCGCGCGGCGGGCAGGGCTGCCCCAGGAAAGGAGCTTGTCAGGGTCGTGCTGGTTCATGCTGGGCACGGCCCACCTGGTTCTCTCCAGGAATGTCAGCCGTCGGCCCAGTAAACCAGACGTAAACACCGAACCATCACCACAGCGAGCTCCACCATGGCGGGTAAAACCCAGCAAGGGAAACAATGGGGCTTTTTCTTATTGTTTGGCTTCCAGAAGCATCTGAGTAGCGTGTCAGCAGCACGCTTCAAAACGCCTGGTGGCGATGTGGAAAGACCAGTGCACCTTCCACCAGTTCTGTCCTTTTTATGTGCTTCTTTACAAAAAGGTTCCAGCTTGCCAGCAGCTACAGTTGTTTAACTGTGTTTAGTATACAGACTGCTAAGAGTTGGCATCGATCTCAGGCTAATTCCAGGTTGTTTTTCAAAACTGCTTTTTAAGTCAACATTTTTTAAAACTGAATTTTTTAAATTAAATGTCTTCTAAGATTTGCTTCCACCATGACACCCAAAGGCAAAGGTTTCACAGCGTGGTTCCATTACCGCGTGGAGCCTTCCCACTAGGGTGTCCGAGGGAACCTCACTTCCCTCGAAGCCTCCACTCTCGGTGGGGGCCGCG
This sequence comes from Homo sapiens, assembly GCF_000001405.40. Lineage (NCBI taxonomy): Eukaryota > Metazoa > Chordata > Mammalia > Primates > Hominidae > Homo > Homo sapiens. The sequence goes on along the minus strand of NW_021160011.1, from coordinate 1,867 downwards.
GGGATTTGCTTTTCCTTTTCTAATTTATTTGGGCCACACTGCGGCTCCTGAGATTCTAACAGATCCAAAGCACCCTTCAGCTGTTCGTTGATGACCCTGAGCTACCCACTGGGCAAGCCTCTGCTTCTGAAACGAGAGGGCCCCAATCTCACAAAAACGCATTCGCTTGCCCCACTCACACCAACTTGTAACCCAGTTTTGGCAAACCAGCCCTTGCCACTGAGCAGTGGCTACCCTCGAGTACAGACAAGCAAGCCGCCTCCCAGCTTCACCCACCTGCGTCATCCTTCCAACATTTCAAGTTGTTAGAGGCACACGGAGGGGTCACTGGGCATTTTGCATGCTAACAAATCATATCCTTGCTGAGATCTCAGCACTGATTAGAAAGATTGCATCTGATTTATGCTAAGTATGCAATAAAGTGTTTATGCAAGCACCTACACAGCGCGTGTGTGCACACACGCACACAAACGCAACACACAGACACCGGCACACACCAGCTCCCGCCTGACTCAGGCAGTGGCCTCTCCTCCCCAGGACCAGCCCCGCGAGCTCGGCCAGCCGCTGCAGGTCAAGTACTACCCTCCCAACGGCACCTTCAGTCTGCACTACTTCCCTTATTACGGGAAGAAAGCCCAGGTAGGTTCCTTCCTTCCACGCTTCCCTCACCACAGCTGCTGAGTCCTCTCACACTTAGCGAAAGGAAAGCAATAAGCCCCTTCATGTAGAAAAATGAAACAAAGGTGTGACTTAGCCGGTCCTGACTGGAACGTTCTGCGTGTTTCCCAAGCCCAGGTTCTTGTATCTACCTGGAAACATTCCTCTCACGCAACATGAAAATACAACTCTAACTCTTCAACTTTTTTTTTTTTTTTTGAGACAGTCTTGCTCTGTCACCCAGGGTGGATTGCAGCAATGCAATCTTAGCATCTTAGCTCATTGCAGCCTCAACCACCTGGGCTCAAGTGATCCTCCCACCTCAGCCTCCTAAGTAGCTGAGACCACAGGCACACACCAACATGCCCAGCTAATTTTCGTATTTTTTATAGAGAAAGGGTCTCAGTATGTTGCCCAGGGTGGTCTTGAACTCCTGGGCTGAAGCAATCAGCCTGCCTCAGGCTCCCAAAGTGCTAGGATTACAGGCATGAGCCACTGCGCCCAGCCTAATTTTTCTACTTCCCAGATCCTCTAAAACAACTGCATATCCACTTCGAAGACTTTCCTCCACATCACGTGCTTTTCCTGTTTCATTTTTACGTTAATCATCGTAAGAGTTTGAAGCTGAATTTACTCCTGGTATTGTCTGTCCCCTCCAGACAGTTGCTTTCCATTTTTACATGGGGGGTGTTATCTCAGCAAATTCCAGGGCATGCACTCGGTCAGGGCCAGTCTTACACAAAAGAGCTGCTTCTCTGCACCAACCTGACTGTTGACACTTCCTTGCTTAGTTTTCTCTCCTTAACTTCAGAGATTTTTGAAACACCTGTCCTTTCCTCACTCCCACTTCAGCCCCACTACAGCAACCCCCTGGTGGCAGCGAAGCTCCTCAACATCCCCAGGAACGCTGAGGTCGCCATCGTGTGCAAGGTCATGGCGGAGCACGTGACCTTCAACAATCCCCACGACCCGTATGAAGGGAAAGTGGAGTTCAAACTCAAGATTGAGAAGTGAAACGGTTTGCGCAGGGGTCCTGGGCACGCCTGCGGGGTCGCTCAAGGACACCCTCCTGGTTGGGCTTACCTTGCCCGTCAGTTCCCTGCCAAATCATCCCCAAAGTGGTTTGGAGCAACGGTGTTGTCAGTGTGCGAACTCCAGAGAAGCGCCCACATCTGAAGGACCTGCTCGCGAGTATCAGTTCTTCCTTGTT
>NW_013171811.1:0-123480 GCF_000001405.40 Homo sapiens | reverse complement strand
ACAGAATAATTTTGGTTTTGAACTAAGGTCTTTCTGTATCTGATGTTCTGGGTGATGTGTAGCAATAAAAAAACTGTCACTAGACTCAGTGCCTTGACCGTATGAACTGAGGCCCCATCCCCTGGAGCTTCAGGTTTGGGTACAAGGACACAGAAGGTGAGTGGCACAGTATGAAAGTTCAATAAATTTGATGTTAGAATGTGAGGCCCGGATCTACTTCATTTTAGGAAATTCATATGCAAGTAATTCCTTTTCTGCTCTCTTTAGCTTTGTGATAGCTCAGCGTATAATCAATAAAGATGTGACCTCCTCCTTCTGTGCCTGTCAAGATATCCTCGACCTGCACCTCAGGAATCTACATTTATATTCAGATACCTGAAGCTTGGATTTTCACTGTCTTTCACCAAACAGAGTTAATTAGATCCAGTGTTGAAAGTGATATCAGCCCCTCTCAAGTGATATAATTTTGGGAATCACATTTCAGAGGATTATGAATAATAATTTGACAGCAATAAATACTTTCTAGTCACTCTTGTCTGAAAAGAGTGTGATGGTGGAACATTCCTGTTACAATGTTCTTATAATATTGTTATGTAGTAAATCTACTTCCCTAGAAAGAATTTTCTTCAAGCCAGGAAATCTTCCTCCCAATTCAGGTTGTTCTTCCTTATGTCAGCCACTTTCTGGTGACACTTTATGGCACCAAGAAAGTGACTGAACCCACATTCTGTCATGCCCAGCAGAACTCCAACACCACCAGGTCCTCCACCTGCAGCCTGGAGCCAGGTCCCCAAGCTCCTGCTGTCACCTTCATTTACCTCTCAAAATGCCAAGAAGAGCTAGTTAAGGTGGGACCCAGTGCAAAATGAAAATTCATGGCTTCCAGTTTTAAAATTATTGACGATTTCAAGATAGTGATATCAGAGGGTGAAATCAAGCATGGTACCTTTCTAAAAAGAAGGCCCCGTGTGACTATATGGGTAACCTGCCTGTGATGCCTGCCCTGAATTACCAAGCCCTTTAATCAACTAAGCTCCTAGATTCCTTCATGGCCACAGATTACTCCCCTCCATGGAATGATGCGAACCCAGCCCAATTTCCACTTCTGGAAATGTCCAGAGAACCTAAATGGAAGTCAGTCTCTCTGAAAACACCATCTCTCCTGCAGCCTTGTCCAGTGTAGGGAAACTTATTCTTCCACAGAGCACTAAAAAAGCTTGGATATCTTCTGAGCTTATCATTGATTCTTCTGGAATCACTGAACGCTTACATTGATGTGCTTCTTTCTAAGATTTACCCAATCCTTATGTACTACCTCATCTCCCAACCTGGTCACTCTTCTCTGTCATGGAAGACTTGGGGACCATGATGACAGCCTTCTCTCCACTTAGAACACCATCAACAGAGGAAGCATTAATGATATCACTTACTCCACATAAGATCCCCAAAATGTCATCCCTCCTGAACACTATCAACAGAGGAAGCGTTAACAATACCACTTACTCCACATAAGAACCCCAAAATGTCATCCCTCCTGGACTCCACCAATCTTTATCCACACCTCTGGTTTGTATTAGCAAGACTGGCTTCACTCTGAAATATTAAATTCTGGCATCCCAATCTATGACTACAATACCTCATTCTGCTTCCTAAGACAAACTGAGAGAGCAAAGTGACGAGAGAGCAAGGCCTTCCTCAAAGGCTGTCCAAACCTTTGACCGTGTGGTTAGAATGTGTCAACAAATCTTTTCAACACAGCATCAGCAGTTCACAGCTTCTCTTGTACTGCACTATTTCATTTGTAACTTTCTAAACAAAGGTAATATGTCTTAATATACAAACTCAACACAATGCACATTATTGATTCATCTGAAAGTACTGAAAATCATAGGAACCAAATGACAAGCAAAGGGAACTTCGAACTTAAAATGCATTGTCAATTTTTTTTTTCTGCTGTCTTGGTGTAAGGGGTGGTTTCTGGATCCTGGCCCTTCTGATTGGCTAATGAACATATCATGAATGACCCTGAAATCTATCACTCAGTAAATCAGAAAATCATTACAAATATTTACAAATCACACATCAAGTCTGAAGATTCAAATCAAATTCTGTGGTTCATACATAAGAGTTATCTTTCACCAATTTTTAAAATGAGCGTTGGATCTATTTTAACATGACTTTTCACAAGTCTACATGTTTTACAATGCAAGCTTCCCCTTCTCTTCTCTGTAGTGGTTACGGAGCAGTCATGGCAGAGGAGACTAGAGAAATAATTACTAGGAAACATCCAGTTTGATCCAGGGTTGTCTTCGTGAATGTCATGTGCCAGGTACAGTTCTACCAGTAAATTAAAAAACAACAACAACAACAAAACTCTGAACTTTTAGGTAGCTATGGGGGAAGAAGAAGTGACGTGAGGTGCACAATTTGAGTGAGATATAGTCCATGTTTTTGTCCTATGTTTATGAGTTCTCAGTAGTTCAAAGAACATTTCTACAGTGAAAGTCAGAAACAGTGACAGAGAGAGAAGAAAAGTAGCGGACAAAATAGATAAATTTATATCAGTAGCAAAATAAATTTAAATTTATTGCAATTTCTCAAAATCTAACATGATTCTGGAACTTCCATACGCTTGTTTTTATTCAACAGCAATACCGCAGACCGGCCCTTTCAGCCTGTGCTTGAATCTTTGCAAACTCTCGTCCACTTCTCTGCCACCATGTCACATTGAAGGATCATATTCACTGTAGTGTTATCTTGAACATACTTATTTTTGCTTTTCATGATCTTCTCTCTGGCAAATATTATACTCCAGATTATCTTGCCATAGATAAACTACCCAGAATGCTGTGAGTTGAATCATATTTATTATTTCTATTTGCACTGCAGAGAGCCGCAGCTTCCAGCCAATTGAACCAGACTCTAAACACCGAACCACATCCAGAAATTTTAAAATCCTAAAAACCTGTTATCCTTTTGGGTGAATGTAAACCAATCTCCTTCATCAGCAGCACTGGTTTGCTGCATTTTAAATTCTCTAGATTTTATTAGGCAACACTATATTCCAGCTGTACTTGGCAAGGTATATATAAAGGTGAATTACATAGTAACCACTCTTAAGAAATAGTGCTGTTTGATATTGTGAGGTTTATGATAAAAGGTATACATAGCATTCTATGGAGTCACAGCAGAAGGTACCTAATAGCCTGATAGGAATTGGATAATTGAATACGGGAACACAGGAGCTTGTCTTGAAGGATCAAGAGGCAGTGAACAAGTGGGTGCGGCCTGGGGTGAGACATTCATATATCTGTTAGTTAAACGTACATATTCACTGAGGAACTACTATGCCCCCAGTGCTGTGCTAAGCCAGAGGGCTATTATAAACAAGAACTCACCTCAGGACCAACAACCTACAACTGGGGGATGACGCAGGCAGAAAGCTGAGATGGGACCGTGGTGAGCTGCTGGCCCGTCTCGGTAGAGCTCCCCAAAGTAAGAAACAGCCTGAGTGATATTGAGGAGGAATGGGATCAGCCATTTGTGGAATTATAAGCAGTTTGGTACATCTAGAGAGTAATGTAAATTATTAGGGTTGCTTAAAGAAAGACTTTCTAAGTAGGTGAGTTTCAGGCTGATAAGTAAGGAAACCCTTTCTTGCTACAAAACTCTAGTTTCTCCAGGAAAGATTTTGTTACCAGTGGCTTTGAAGGTGAATGTCTGCAAGTTTCCTTAGGGGAGCTATAATTCTATAAGAAGTCTGTGGAAAATGCCTTGTTATCTGCCTTCACCCTGTCAGGAAAGAGTTCTGATTCTTAATAATTTGGGGTCCTTATTACAAAGATATAAAAACAAAACGAAACACAAAATCTAGTTGCTATCTTCACTGGGGCCTTTCTTAGATCATCTGATGCAGAGCAAATCAGGCCCGTGTGGTGTATTCCTAAAAAATGGAAAACTCATCCATTGGGTTTCCAGTAGCATTTAAAGCATCATCACAATGTGCTCTTCTGTTGCCCTTTTGTCCCCTAAGCCATGCATGCAGGGAGTCATGATAAAAATACATCCGCAGGCAGGTCAAGGTTACGATTCTCTTCCAAGATTCAGCTGGATATCTCACTAATGATCTAAAATTCTGAACTAGGGACTTTCCAGTTATGGATGTGATGGTTCTCAAGGACCCAAAAGACAATGAATTTGAAAAAAGCCACATCCAGCCAGGATTTTGAATCTTGAATTGCACCCCTGGGGTTATGTGAAGAGTCTCTTGTTCACAGTCCGTGGCCCCTCCATTGCCTGTTTGCCAGCGCCAGGCAGCACCCTGCAGCGCTCACCCTCAGACATCAGTATCACCCAACTTGCCTGGCTGTGCCCGCTCTCTTTCCTGCCCCTTGCCTGCCTTCTGCTTCCTGCTGCTGCATCCTCCATGGGGCCCCCATTCCACATCCTCCAAGGAACATGCAGGAACAGCCCCTGTGAGGTCCTTGGAGGATGTGGAGTGGGGGCCCCGTGTGGAATACCTTCCTGTGCAGAGGGGATATTGTCTTCTGCTGTGATTGATGTTCTTGCTAGAGTCTGCCCTTGTAGCTCTTGCTCTTTTTCTTCTAGGAAAGCAAAAAAGGGGCTTGGAGTTCAATGGCCAATGTCCAGGTGGGTGGGCAGGGTTACTGGTGGACAACTTCCACACAGCAACTATTTTTGTTCTTTAATACCTAGACATTTTTAAAAATAAGATATTTCTCTAGGCATTTTCTCTAGAATCCTGATATTCTGCCTCTTTACAAAATACATTATTTTCTGCTAGACTTTGAAGATATTAGGCTGTTGAACCACCCCTACTGTAGTAAGGTGCTAATTATCTCTGCTTCTTATAGCATGCAAGCCTTTAGAGAAACTGATGGTGAAGAGCAAAGAGCAGCTCGGTTTTGGGCAGCACATTTTCTTGTTTGAGTAGCCAAATTATTAAATTATTCAAAATTTAAACTTTGAATAAAAACAGTCTTAACTAATTTTATATGTTGGTTTTATTATATGAAACACGCATGTTTCTTATTTAAAATGTTCAAGTCATTTGTAAAAGGAAACAGAAAATAATTACAAAACCTGGTCCCCTTTTCCCCAACCTGAGTCACTGTTGAAAATTTCTTATCTGGTCTTCAAGATCCTCCGTTGGCTGTTAAAAGGATTCTCTCTTTCTCTCTCATATATCCGATTGTGCTATATGCACTATTCTGTAACCCGCTTTGGGCATGTATAATATGTTTTGGACATAGTTTCAGATACATTATGGCTCAATTTTTTTTTTTTTTTTTTTTTTTTGAGATGGAGTCTTGCTCTGTCACCCAGGCTGGAGTGCAGTGGCGTGATCTCAGCTCACTGCAAGCTCCACCTCCCAGGTTCACAACATTCTCCTTCCTCAGCCTCCCAAGTAGCTGGGATTACAGGCGCCCGCCACCACGCCCGGCTAATTTTTTGTATTTTTAGTAGAGACAGGGTTTCGTCATGTTAGCCAGGGTGGTCTCGATCTCCTGACCTCGTGTCTGCCCGCCTCGGCCTCCCAAAGTGCTGAGATTACAGGCGTGAGTCACCATGCCTGGCCAGCTGAATATTTTTAACAGCTACATGAATTCCACTGTTTAAATTCCTATATCCATGTTACAACTAGAATTCACTTGATCAAAGAAAGAGTAGTTCTTATTTCTAATATATTTCACCTGAGCTTGGCTATAGTCTGAGGCGGAGGGTTCAGTTACCATTGGGAGCGCCTTCTCAATTGCTCATCGAATAAAGGTAATAACAAAACCCTGGACAACATTTTAGCAAAACGTATGTAATACTGTTTTTTACTTCATAAACATAATTTTTTTTTTGTAAAGAGTTAAATCTAAGGTTTCTTCTATACTGGCCTCATGAGACCAACTGCCTGGGATACAGACATTGTTACTTTTTGCAATTATTCCCCTTCTGTCTGTCAGAGTACCTGATACCTGCCATATGTTTAACACATGCATTCAATAAATGGTGGGGTAAAAAGATTAATTCAGATGTATTTGTTGAAATTTTATTAAAAATAAGATAAAACTAAAGATGCTATATGGCCAAAACATTAAAATATGTTTCTCAAATATCTACCTTTAATAGCAATTGAGTTAAACACAACTAAGTAATTTCTGCAGCTGATTCTTGATGCCCACACTCGCATTCTCTCTTTCCCTCAAAGTCGCTGATCGTCTATAATTAGAGCTCAGTGCTGATGAAGCATCAGGCTCTGTAATGTGGGACGCCCAAAAGGTGAGGCCAACAGCACAGATACTCACACTTGACATTTTAGATGGCTACATTGCCTTTTTCAGTACCTAAGACATTTTGAAACCCTGTAATTTCATCTCTCCAGCAACCTGCAATTTTTCATTTGTTTTTATTTATTTGGTAACCCCAGGAAAAGGAGACTTTAGCACTGAGCACCTCCTCCTTCAGCTGCCACGAGGTTTCCTTATCCGTCCTCCAGATTCATCCTCCACTTTGTCTTAGTCTCACAACCTTTGCATAACAACATAAAAATACAATATCCTTGCACTGGGTTGGGAGTTAATAAAGTGGCTTCCATCTACTTCATCAGTTTAACCTTCTCATTTCCTTTTCCTTCAGATGCTACCATTTATGAATCTTTATACTCTGTCACCTAGGCTTAGATTATACTCTGTATACTGTTACCTAGGTCTTCACCCAAAGAGACCCTTATATCCTTAGAGCTCATTCATTCATTCGTTGACTATGCATTGAAAATTCACTATGCATCACATGCTAAGAACAGAAAAGTATCCAAGACAGCCACAGTTTTTGAGATTTCAGTCTAGCAGAGAGAAAAAACCACATATTCCATTAATTATAATCTATTGTGACAAGATCTACGGAGAAGCAAGGAGTGTATGTTATGAGACCTTGGACAAGTATTCACTATGCATCACTTGCTAAGAAAAGTATCCAAGACAGTCACAGTTTTTGAGATTTCAGTCTAGCAGAGAGAAAAAGCCACATATTCCATTAATTATACCCCATTGTGGCAATATCTACAGAGAAGCAAGGAGTGTATGTTATGAGAGCTTGGACAAATGGGTTATTAAGCCGGACCAGGAGAGTGAGAAAAGCCTTTGTAACTGATGCCCAGAAGCAGCCACAACAAAATAATTGTGGCCCCATTGTTTGCCTCCTTCGCTATCATCTGCTTATCCCTCTCCAGTCCACTGCAATCAGTGGTTTATTTTTCTGTCTCCCTCAGATGACACAGTATATGCATTTTGCATCTTTTCACCCCAATATCTATCACAGTGTCAGATATTAATTAAGTAGTAACATTAATTAATTAGCTTATCTCCTTAACAAATCTACTGAGCATCTCCGAGTATCAGGCACTCTCCTGGGCATTATAATATTCATGAAAATATGACAAGTCCTGTCTCTCATGGAGCTAACATTCTAGGAAATAGAAAATAGTCACATGAACCTATGATGGGTTTGGTGACAAGTGTGCTATAAAAGATGGGAAAGAACAAGATAAAGGAATGGAAGTGGAGTTGCTTGTGAGGCGTCAGTGGTGAGTTACTATACCCCATAGGGCAAGCCAGGGAGGGCTGCTCCTTTAGATCACGTTGAGCAGAGACCCACAGCAAGTCAGCAAGCGAGCCGTGTACATCTGAGAGGCATGTGCTGGGTGGAAACCCGGCAAGAGCACACGGAGCAGGAGCACGGGCCAGCACTGAAGGAGCAGCAAGGTGGCCGGTGTCAGCAGAGCAGAGCGCAGAGGGAAAGTGACTGGAGAAGTTGCAACGGCTGTGGGCTGGGGCTTGAGACAGATCATGGTGTGGCCATAAGCAGGACTTTGGCTTTTACTTATGAGAGAAGGAAAGCTGTTGGAGCATTTCAGATACAGAAGTGACATGACCCGGCTGTGAATGGGAAACAGTATAGTGCAGGCAAAGATGGAACCTGGGAGAAGAGGAAGAAAGCTGTGTACCCAGAAAAGAGGGATGGTGGTTTAAAACCGACTGGCAGCTGTCGAGGGGATGAGAGATGGTGGTGGTGTGGCTTTATTTCAAAGATCAAGAAAGCAACTGCTGATTTGTTGATTGGGAGCATAGTGATATATGTGTTCATTAAAAGTCAGATACTATCTATATCATCTATATATAGAAAAATATTTGTTAGGGACAAAAATAAAGTAAAAGTCAACAAGTATTTGATTTGGTGGTCTTTACAACTAATTTAAAGATAGGAACTTAATTTTGAAAAATATAAAAATTAACATATCTAATCTCTCTCTCTCTATATATATACACACACACACACACACACAGACACACACACGTGAAGAAGTGACAGTCTCTCCCTGTCCCCTGTGCTCCTTGTTTCCCTTCCAACTCCTCTTCCTTCTCCTTTCCTTCCTCTTTCTCTCTCACACATAAATACACAGAAATAACACTTTCCTAGTAACAGCAACAATGACTTGCACTGATATGTTCATGGAAGAGGTCTGTTTTCTACTGGGACGTGCAAACATGCTGATAACTAGACCTCCCGAAAAACAGGCTTATGGGCGGGCACGGTGGCTCACGCCTGTAATCCCAGCACTTCGGGAGGCCAAGGCGGGTGGATCACGAGGTCAGGAGATCCAGACTATCCTAGCGAACATGGTGAAACCCCATCTCTACTAAAAATACAAAAAATTCGCTGGGCGTGATGGCGGGTGCCTGTAGTCCCAGCTACTCAGGCGGCTGAGGCAGGAGAATGGCGTGAACCAGGAGACGGAGCTTGCAGTGAGCCGAGATTGCGCCACTGCACTCCAGCCTGGGCGACAGAGTGAGACTCTGTCTCAACAACAACAACAACAAAAACAAACAAAAAAACAGGCTTACGATATTTGCCATGAAGAGAATATTAATCTATGGAAGACTCTTAGCAGAATGTGCCTAGTCTAGGCTTGCTTAAAATTAAACCTAGGATCTAGGGACTAATGAGACATGGCTCCTTGAAAATATCATGGAAGCCATATGAGGATCTGAGTGTAAAACAGAGACGTTTCATAACCAAAACATTCCAGAGAAGGAAAACGTTACCTTGAAATCTCTCTTTGTATCTATTTCCAGTGCTAGAGAGAAAACGCCTATATTCTTTGGCAAACTGTCTTCTATCACAATATTCTCTGTTCTTTTTCTGTTCTGCTGACTGTATAATAACTTGCATTCCAGATCTCTTGAGCCTTTGGTATACACCAGTTTCTCTTTCATGCAGTTTTTCCCCAATGTTGGCCATAAATTAGAATAACCTGGGAAGTCTTAACAACTCCCAGCGGTCAAGCTACATCCCAGAAAAAATAAGTAAGAATCTTTGTGGGCTCAACTCAGGTTGGGAGTCAGGTGTCAGTATTTTAATAACACCCACATGATCCCCAGGTGCAATCAAGGTTGAAAATTTATGTGATGTTAAGGAGCTTCTGGAAGTTAAGGGCATGACCCCCTCTACTACAGTTTGCTATAATGTGAAGAAATATAGCATTACTTTTTGTCTTGAGAGACAATCATAAATTAGATTGATATCTTACATTAATTTCTATATTTTTCAAAATTAAGTTTCTATCTTTAAATTAGTTGTAAAGACCACCAAATCGAATACTTGTTGACTTTTACCTCATTTTTGCCCTGAACAGAACCAGCAACAATTTCTTGCACACGAACCTAATATATTTTAAATGCAGTTATTTATAATATAATATTTTTAAATGTAGTTATTTATTTGTTTATTCACTTACCCCCTACTTTGTTTCTAAAATACTACAAGGCAGGCTGTATTTGCCTTTATAAGAGCTGGATCACGAGCAAAGTATAGTAAAATTTCATTAGAGGAATAAGGACAACTTGTAGGAAAAAAGAAAGGATGATTGCCTAATACTGTATAATTGATACAATATTATTTTACTTATTTTGAATGCTATTAGTTTTTAAAAGTGATTTCTTTAGGGTAGAAACTCTAGATTATTTACAAACTTCAATACAGTAATTAATAATAATTGCAGCTTATCATCCAAGCCTGTTAATTAGAAACACATCATCTTTCTGATCATCATCTGTGAGATGTACATTTCGTTCCTGGGTTTGAACCTGTAATGTACTCTCCCCCGGGTGTCCCCATGCACTGGCACTGACTGTCGCGGTTCTTACCAGATGGAGCAGGGACCCTCCCGAGGAGACGAGGGTGTGGGGGTCTGCCCCCTCCTTCAGGAGCCGAAGCACTGAAAACAACAGAGAGGAGAATGGAGTTACAGAGAGTCCTTCTTCCACGTGTGGAACCAAATGTGTAGGCTTTCGTTAATATCTAAAATGCAAACAGCTGTGAAAACCAAAGACTACGGCTTCTGTGCCATCTGACCCTATTTATTATGATGATTGGTGGTGTTTCTTGTCATCTTCAAACTTATTCCATGGTTGGGCAACATAATTTCGTATTACAATCATGCAAATGAATGAGAAAGTGAAACAGATTTTTTAAAGTTTACTGTTTCAAAGTGTCTTGTGTATTCATCCATTGTAGAACAGAAAAGCAAAATGATAGAAATTACTTCACTAGGTTCACACGGGCATTAGGTCACTGAATTTTTATTTTTATTTTTTAATTCATTAAGGCCCATTGGCTTAAAGCAATAAAAGTTTACTTTTGCACATTAACCTTCCACTGGTGCCATTAGCCCTTGGCAATGTTTCCACCATTCTCACAAAGCACGTCAGAACAAAGCCACATATATCCAAATTAGTTAAGTCAAATACATCAAACTATATACCAATTACTCGAATAAATTCACAGTTGAAAGGTGACCTGTATTTCCATTTGAACAGCAAAGGTGAATTCATTAGTACACAGAATGCCACAGAGTATTAAGAGATTGATTGATTGTGTTCCATTCTCTGCTACTTAAAATGAAGCTATAAGACAAGCCCCATAGAAAGGTTCTTCAATCCCCCAAGGCACTATAATTGTTTCCACTACTAACAGCAATATCATACTTTTAATAAAATACCATGAATGCATTTTCCACACACACAAAATTAAAGCAACAATTACTCTTTTATTTCATTATTACACACAACTGGACAAAATGGCTCAGGTTCAAACTCATTCCTCACTGAGGCATACTGTCTTCCCATTAACTTTATCTGTAACTTGAAATGTTGCCTGACGGGGCCTTCTTTCCTATGGCACTCCAATTCTTTTATGTGTTCCAATGTCTAGTCTCTGACTATCTTCCCCAAATCTCACTGCATATCACAGAAGGCAGCATGAGTCTTGGCAGACATCGTGACTATGCAAAGCTTCCTCTCCAGGAAGGCCAAGCTCTTTGACGGTGGGTGCAGTGGGTGTGATGAGGGAGACAGGCCTCCGCCTGTGAGCCAGGTCAGCCTGCCCTGCCCCGTGCATCCTGGCCACGCTTTCCTTACATCAGCGCACCCTTGGAGCACATCCAGAAGAAGTTCCTAAATAGAAGCATGTTCACATCTACTCATTGCCAAGGGACTTTCCTTTGATGATGTTCTTTCTGCAATCAAGGATTTAATTATTTTCATAACCTAGAATCTGCTAACATTGAGTAGTGTGTTACAAAAACATTCTCAAAGGTGGCAAACTTGTAGTATCAGCTGTAACCTGACAGCTCGTGTCGTATTCATTTGCCAACTGGGTTATCTTCTTTCTCTGCTGTTACAAGAAGTTGAGGAGGCCAAGGCCATCTTTCTCTTGTTCTTCACTGTATTTCTAAGAACCGTCCTGTTTCGTGGTATGGAGATGCTCTTCCCCCCGCCCTTTCTCTGCCTCCCTTTCTCTCTATATATATATAGAATAAATGAAGGCACCTCTTGCAAACTCATGTACTCACTACTCTTAGTGTTTAAAATCCCTTTCATGAGAATAGAAAGTTCATTTCATACATTTGCCAATGGTTTCCTCAGATGATAGACAGCACTTTTACTCTAGTATTTATTCTTTTAGCAAATGAAATTATCCATCATGAATTAACTAATATTGACTTTTTATATTCTGCAAAGAAATAGCATAAGTGTGATCTCACTACAAAGATAGTGTGAAGTAGATTGTATCATGTTATAATATTAGTAAAATGCAATCAGATTTTTATGCAGAGTCCATTATGCAGACACACAGTGAATTATACATAATAGAAATCAGTGATCCATATTCTTTGGGTTTAGGGTTACACAGGTTTCAGCATGAGACCTGGAAAGCTACTGAACTTTATGTCTCAGTTTTTTGTCAGTAGAACAATGGACAGTTGTACTCATTTCATGGGGGTTTGTGAGAATTAAATGAGACAACATATGTAGCATGCTTCAGGCACTTCTTAAGGATCAATAAATGACTGGAATGACTACGTGCAATAAAACCCCATAATAATATATCATAGAATCCACACTTTAAGATCTATTCTGAATGTTTTCCAAACTTTCTGGTTACTAAATGTTGAATTTAAGTGCAGAACATACGTGAGGCAAATTTAGCATATTAACCTGGAGGATGAGTGTATAATTTATCAAACAAAAGTAGAACAAAGGGGGAAATATACAAGGCAAAGGAGAATGCTGAGCATGGAGAAAGTGAATCTTTATTACCTTTGCTTTAAATACAATCTACTGCATTGTAAGTTCGTGTCATTTAATTATTAATATAGGTAGTATTTAACTGTTTCACAACCAACTCACAAAATTCCTGGAATTTTACCAGTCAGCTTTCAGAAGCTGGCAAGGGAGAGCTCCAGATCACTACAGTGGGCAATCATGAAACTCATAAAGAACATTGCACAGGAATGCCCAGGAATGAGAGCAGGGCTACACTCAAGCTCTTTGAAGGTCCTTTTCATCACAGAGAAACAGGCTAGGAAGAAAGGCTTCTTCCTCCATCCAGCCCGGCATCATCCTAGTGAGAAAAGGGCAATCTGAGTTTTGTTTGTCCTAGATAGGACAGTTTTTTTGAGAGGGCTGTTTGCATGATCAAGATGGAACCATATTAGAACCACAGACTCGATATTAACTGGCTTGCCCATCATTACCATGAGTAAGGACTCAAGAATAAGACAAAGTCGACTACTGGCCAAATAGAGAAATAGGTTATTCTTCGCATATAAAGATAGTAGTGTGAACTAAATTCTATGGCTCTGCTAAGGGTTAAAAACTGGAATTGTAAGAGACCTAAATGTGAAGATACAATGAAGAAAATATCATTTGTGTAATAATTAGTTTATAATAATTTTGAGAAGAAAATTATGAAACGAATACATGTTGAACATCTTTGGTATAACCCTGTACTGAGTACCTTACGTGTAAGAATTACTTTAATTCCCTCCACACCTCTATAATACAGACACTATAATCGTCACTCTTTCTTTTACTAATAAGGAAGCTGAGGCTCTGTTACATTACGTGGTTCCCTGAAGCTGTAGGTACATGATGGAGCTAGAACTCAAGTGTAGCAACAGGACTCCAGTGATTGTGCCCTTAACCCCAAACGGCATCAGAGAGTAAAACTTCAAAATCACAGCCAGGATCAAGATCCATTTTATTGGCCTCAGAATTACTAATTGTGTGGGAAATTACCCAAATTTCTGTTAAAATACTTTATCCAAAAAGGTACGGGTTCATAGCAACTTTGTAATAACATGATTGGAGCGGCCAGTCAAGTGAAACGGCAGCACCACTCTGAATCTTTCTGTTATGACAAAATCGGCAAGGAAACAGCCTAAGGAAAACAGCCATCTGGGGACCAAATAGAATAACGAAGCGCAGGCTTCCTTTTATAGTGTTGCCGCTTGGAAGGGATTCAGCATTTATTGTATATTTGTGGCTTCATCATCAAGCTGCAGCAGAACTCCATCGAGATGCCTGTGGGAGGGGGTGGGGGGGCATGATTTGATATTTAAAAAGAAACATTCATTCTCCAAATTTTCAGCTATTAGGGTAAAAAATGGACTAAAATATATCATAAAATTTGCTAAGTAGCTTTAATAGACTACACAGCTGCTTCCCACCATCACCAACAATAACCAATCGCAATAGTCCACCTGGTTGTCAGCATTTATTTTGTGTTTCTAGATACTGTATTGCCACCATTTATCTGTAAGGTCTTTGGAGACCCCATTAGCTAGTGTGGACATGTGACTGCATAGCAATCTATACCTCCTCTCACACAATCTCCACCACAGTGGCTCTTGAATTCACAAAGGTGTTACATTTAACATCAACAGAGGAAAGGAAGATAAAACTAAGCATACCTGCGTTCTCAATTCTGTTCCTGTTATAAGCCCTGCAGAAGACAGTTTCCAGACAGAGGGACGGACAATCATAGGTGATAAGAAGTTAGCAATTGGTAAACCTGGTTAGAGGGGATATGGGAGTTCTTGTGTTACCTGGGAAAGTTTTCTGTAAGTTTGATTTTATTTCTAAATAAAGAAGTTACAATGAATAACAACAAAGTATCAAGCCAGTGTCATTTTTTTCCTCCTGAAATGATAATGAAAACATCAATGTGAAGACTTCTAAAAAAGTATGCCTGAGAATTTCCATACAGTTGATAGTCCTTTGAGAAAGCCTTTGAAAATTGTATCTTATCTCATTAACATGTCAATCAAGAAGAGAAGCAAGAAGCAGGAATATAGAAATTATGTTATCAACACCACAGAAATGTCTATTTGCACAGCAATGCTGCTGAAATACAGATTTCCTTTCCTAAGTAGAGCTCAAACTTTAGGATGTATAAGAATAACTTGAGGATTTTATTAAGATGAATGTTGCTAGTTCCGGGCTTCTCAATCTGTTTTTTATTATCACCCCCTCACCCTCTGTGAAATTGTAATAATACACACAGGCTGGGATATCTGATTACGGAATGTGACCGGATGGAGGGTCACAAAACCATTGCTTTAGCTGAGTTTTTGTCCTCCAAAATCCCATTTTTGCACCTTTGGGAGCTATTTCTGCCCCCATTAGAATCAGGCCCTAGTCCCATCTCTTCAATCCTTTGATTTAGGAGCTTTGTTGTGGGATCTAAAATTGTGTGTTTAAAAAAACACATGCACACACACTGCAGGAGATTCTGGTGCAGATGGTCCCTTTAAGACATTCTGAGAAAAACTGCTAAGATTTTACAATCTCAGGAAATTACCTCTGAACGCCTCATTTGGAAGAGACAGAATTAGTAAGTGGCAAAGACTTGATAGAAGATCCTTTCCCATTAATTTGCCATTGAGACTTTGGCCCCTAGTACCACATGTCCCACAGGATCCCTCAGGACACACAGTATTCTCAATACATGCATATTAAGCTAGACCTCCCTTACATGGATCCGGAATAATCAGGGTGAGCTCACAGGAGGTGCTCATGCTGCAGTGGATGGGGAGGCCTGCAATCAAAGACTGAGTCTGGGCAATGACCCTCGACCCTCACTATGCTTAAGATCCTTACCCAAACTTCGTAAAGATACAAATTGTTCTGTCACCAGGTTATTAAATTCAGGCAGTCAAAGATGTGTCCATTGATCCCTATGTTCCTTGACGTCATTGATTGATCCCTATGTCATTGATCCCTATGTTCCATTGATCCCTATATTCCATTGATCCCTATGTTCCTATAATACTGAGAAGCATAGACAGCCATGGGAATCAGCATCCAAGGACTGTTTAGCTTGTTTCCGTCCAGCCTGGAAACAACAGGGTCATGATAAGAGGGTCTAGCCAGGTTGTTGGAGCTTTGGTGGGCTCTGCCTGAAGTCTTTATTCAAGTGAGCTGCTCAATCACACCTTATGTGATTGCTTCTGATTTGATTCAGATCCACATGCACTCACAGGATGCTCAAGACTGTTACCAGCCACCCTCCTGGACAAGGAGACCCATGAGGGCTGGGCATGAAGTCAAGGCTGCATTAGGTTCCAGCCTTGGCAAGGGAATTTGGGCCAATTAGCTTGAAGCACCCCGGAATCAAGCACTAGCCGAGACCCACCTTAGCCCCAGAGACCTCACAGTCTTCAACCAGTTAAAATTCATTTCATGTCACTTTGGCCATGGCTTTCAGACTTCTTTTTTCGCACTCAACTTGATCAAAACTGGACCTGACTAAATCCTGAAGACTGTAAGCCAAGTCCAAGGTCTTCGTGGCCAGGTTGACCCAGATTCTCCAATCCCAATCCAGTGTGCAGTTATGACAAATGAAACAAATTTTTAGTGAGCATCCTTTATGTATTAATAGTTAGCACTATCCCAAGAGGTGCAGATGTACAGAGAAGAAATAGAAAACAATCTTACCTTCATAGAGTGTATAATCTAGTTGGCACTGGTACTGGAGAAGACGGAGGACAAAAGGGATCACAATTACATATTAGAAGGATTTGCAGTGCTTCTTGAATCACTGGCTAAATATCTTGAATTTGTTCTGAAAACCGAATTACCATTTTTCCCTTCAAATGTTACTTGTAACCCATTTCATTCCTTCTCCTCCTCAAGGATCACACTGAGATATATGTTCAGCATTATCATCATGTTCCTTATATCTCTTAGGCATTTCTTTGCTTTCTCTCAATATATTACCTTGGATATTTTCTACTGCCCTGCCACAATATGAAACCCTTTTCAGCCACATACAATCAACTGTTCAGCCCATCAATTCAATTTTAATTTGTCACATTATTTTTTAGTCCTACACTTTCCATTTGATACTTTCATATAGATTTTAATTACCTGGTAGAAGGTTTTATCATTATTTCTTGTACATGTTGGTTGGAGTTATTATGAAATCAAATCTGATAACTATATCATGTGCATCAGCTATGAGTCAGTTTCAATTTTCTATGGTTTCTCTTGATCTTAGATTTCAGTATGCCTGTAGTTACTGATATTATTATTATTTGATTGGTCATATAGAGTGTGTTAGGCTGTACTCCTTCCTGTTCATATTTTTAAAAGCATTTATGAAAACTAGTATTAATTCTTCTTTAAGCATTTGGAAGAAATCCTCCATGAAGCCATGTGTGCCTGGGTTTTCCTTTGTGGAAAGATTTTATTAATTAAATCTATTCGATATAAGCCTATCATGATTTGTGTCTTTCTAGGAATTTTTTCGTTTCATGTGGGTTATCTAACTTTTTGGCATATAATTTTACTAGTATTACCTTTTAACCCATTTTAAGTTTGATTCTAATATACAGTATACTTCCCTTTTCTCTGGGGGATACAGTCCAAGATCTCCAGTGTATGCTTGAAACTGCAGATAGAACAAAATTGTATATATGCTATGATTTTCCTATACACACACACTTATAAAATTTAATTCATAAATTAGGCACAGCAAAAGATTAATGACAATAATACAATAGAACAATTATAACAATATACTGTAATAAAAGTTATATGAATGTGGTCTCCTTCTCTCTTCAAAATATCTTACTGTATTTTGCTCACTCTTATTCTTCTTGTGATGATGAGAGATAATAAAATGCCTGTGTGACAAGATGACATAGACACCGCGATGTTGCATTAGGCTACAACTGACCTTCTGATGATAGGTCAGAAAAGCCTCCTGTGTTCCAGGTGATCCCGGATCACTGAGCCATGATGATGTCAATGGTTAGATGACAAGAGCAGACGATGTTGATGATTAACATGTAGGTAGTGTACACAGTGTATATGCTGGACAAAGAGTTGATTCATGTCCCAGATGGAATGGAGTGAGATGGCACAGGGTTTCACTATGCTATTCAGAATGTTGTGCAATTTAAACTTTCTGGAATTATTTATTTCTGGAATTTTCTATTTTTGGATCAGGATTGATCATAGGTACCTAAAACCATGGAAATCAAAATCATGGGTAAGGGGGCACTATTGTATCTTCTTTCATTCCTGATTTTAGTAATTTTTGTTTTGGTTTGGTTTGGTCAGGTTTTTTTTTGGTTTTTTTTTGTCAGTTTAGCTAAGGTTTTTCATTGTGTTGATATTTTCAAAGAGCCAAGTTTTGGTTTTATTGATTTCTCTATTGTTTTCCTCTATATTTCTTTTATTTCTACTCAAACCTTTATTGTAACATTCCTTTTATTGGCATTGGATATTGTTCACTACTTTTTTTCATTTTTGAATATAAAAAGTTAGGTTAATTTAAGATACTTTTATGTATTTAAATATAGGCATTTATTACTATGGACTTTGGGTGATTAGGTTGTGTCAATGTAGGTTTATCAATTGTAAAACGTGTACCATTCAGGTGGGGGAGATTAATAACAGGGGAGGCTACCCATGTGTCAGAGCAGGGGCTATATGGAAAATCTCTGTATCTTCCCCTTAATTTTGCTGTGAATCTAAAGATTTTCTTAAAAATGAAATTCTTTTTTAAAATATATTTGTATTATATTTTAAGTTCTTGGGTACATGTGCACAACATGCAGGTTTGTTACATAGGTATACATGTGCCATGTTGGTGTGCTGCACCCATTAACTCATCATGGAAGCCATCATTCCCAGCAAAAACGAAATTCTTAAAGAAAGATGAGTGTTTATAGCTATAAAATTCTCTTTAAGAACTGCTTTAGTTATACCTTACATCTTTTAGTATGTAGTATTTTCATTTCATTTATCTAGCATTATTTTATAATATCTATTGTGATTCATTTTTTGATACATTGGTTATTTAGGAGTATTCTGGTTAATGTAGTAGTTTGCTAGGGCTATCATAACAAGATACCTCGGATGGCTAGTTTACACAATGGAAATTTATTTTCTCATAGTTCTGGAAACTAGAAGTCCAAGATCAAGGTGTTGGCAGTTTGATTTCCTCTGAGGCCTCTCTTCTTGGCTTGTGGATGGCTGCCTTCTCACTGTGTCATCACTGTGTCCTCACATGTGACTCTCTGATGGCACACACTGTGCGTGTCCAAACTTGTTCTTCTTAAAACACCAGTCATATTAGATTTGAGCCCACCTTAATGACCTCTTTTTAACTTATTGGCCTCCTTAAATGCCCTGTTCCCAAATACAGTCACATTCTGATTTACTGGGGGCTAAGGGTATAACATATGAATTGAGGGGAGGGGACAGGGAAGGACAAAATTTAGCCCATAATAGATAATTTTTGTGTATTTGTGAATTTTATAACATTCCATCTATTAAGTATTTTTATTTTCATTCCATTATGGTGAGAGAACATACTTTGTAATATTTTAATTCTTTTAAAATTTATTGGCACTTGTTTTATGGCTTTGCACGTGGTCTGTCCTGGAGAATGTTTCATGCACCCTTCAGAAGAAGGAGTGTTCTGCTGTTGTGGAAGAGTATGTTTGATAAATTTCTGCTGTATATGGTTGTTCAAGTCTTCTTTTTCCTGTTGAACTTTTGTCTAGCTCCATCCATTGCTGTGAAAGGTACTGAAATATTCAAATATCTATGAATGCTCTATTTTTCCTTTTAATTCTCTCAGTTTTGCTTCATGTATTTTGGAACCCTGTTGTTAGGCACATATATATTTACAATTTGTATGACTTCATGATGGAATAATTCCTTTATCACTATATAATGTCCTTATTTTTTCTTTAATAACAATTTTTACATTAAAGTTGAGTTACCTGATATTTACATATGTATTCTAGCTCTTTTTGGGTTACTTTTTGAATGGTATATGATTTCCCACGTTTGACTTTCAACCAATTTGTGTCTTTGAATCCAATAGATGTCTCTTACAGGCAAAATATAGCTGGATGACTTTTTAATCAATTCTGCTAATCTCTGCCTTTTGAGTATTAAATCCATTTATATTAATGCAATTACTGATAAAGTAGGATTTATGCCTACCATTTTGCTTTTGTTTGTTATGTGTATTATACCTGTTTCATTCTTCTATGCCCCCATTGCTGCCTTCTTTTGTGTAAACAGGTACTAATTTACATGTCATTTTGATTCTCAAGCATTTATTTTCATATATTATTTATTTTCTCATAATTTCCCTAGGGATTACAATTAATATATTAATTTATAATAATTTAGTTCAAATTAATGTCAACTAAATTTCAAGAGTGTACAAAAACTTTGCTGTTATATAGTCAGCTGTCCCCTCTACCACTACTACCCTTCTAACTTTGGGTCATTATGTTTAAACAAATTACATCTTTATGCATTGTGTGCTCATTTATAACAGACTTATATTCATTTATTTCTGTAATTATGTTTTAAATATAATTAAAAATTAGAGTAACAAAAATAGGCAATACTGTTTTTTTATATTTACTTATGTGTTTAACTTCCAAGTGCTGTTTATCTTTTATGCAAATTCAAGTCTAATGTCTTTCATTTCAGCCTGAAAGATTCCCTTTGCTATTTCATGAGGGGCAGACCTGTTAGTAAAAAATTCTCTTAGTTTTTGTTTGCAATGAATGTCCTAATATTCCTCCATTTTTGAAAAGTCATTTTCATGGATATAGAATTCTTGGCTGGCAGTCTTCCTTTTTAGCACTTTGAATTTGTCATTTTCTGCATTTTGGCTTCCATGGTTTCTGATTAGAAGTCAGCTGTTAATCTTCTGGAGGAACCCTTGTACATGAAGCATAACTTCTGTATTTATGCTTTCAAGATAATTTTTGCCTTTGGCTTTTCACAGTTTATGTTGTGTCTAGGTATGGATCTGTTTCAGTTTATCTGACCTGGAATTTGAGAAGCTTCTTAGATGTGTAGATTAATATTTTCCACCAAATTCAGCAAGTTTTCACCAATTAGTACCTCCAATATTCTTTCTGCCTTGTCTTTCTCCTCTCATCTGTGACTCCATTATGTACATTGGTACACTTGGTGGTGCTCTACAGGCCCCTTAGGCTGTGCTCATTTTTCTTCATTTTTTTTTTCTTCTCTACCTCAGACTGGATCATCTTAATTGATCTATCTTTAAATTCACTGCTTGTTTTGCCAGCTTAAATACACTTTATTTCTGCTAATGTATATTTAATTTTAGTTACTGTGCTTTTCAACTTCAGAATTTCTATTTGTTTGTTTTTATAAGTGTTCTTCTCTATGTGGGGAGATACCACTTTCATATTTTCCTTTAGCGATTTAGACATAATTTTCTTTAGTTATTTGAACATTTTTATGATCGTTTATTCAAAATCCCTCTCCAGTAAATCTAATATCTGGGCTCTCTCAGACACAGATTCTGTTGACTACTTTTTTCTCTCTCTGTGGAACACACTTTCTTGTTTATTTGAATATCTCATAATTTTTTGTTGACAACTATGTTTTTTAGTTTGGTTTGTGCTGCTATAGCAGAATGCACAGACTGGTTAATTTATTTTTAAAAATGGTAGTTTATTTTCTAACTGTTCTATATCCTGAGAAGTCCAAAATCAAGGGGCCAGCATATTGTGAGAACTTTCTTGCTGGGTCATCCAATGGTGTAAGGTAGGAAGAAGGGGAGGGCAAAAGGGACCAAACTTATCCTTTTAAAAGGGGGCCACTCCCACGATAACAAACCTACTCCAGTGATAACAGCATTAAACCACTCATGAGGGCAGAGTCCTCATGGCCTAATCACCTCTTATTACTATTACAATGGCAATTAAATTTTAACATGAGTTTGCAGGGGGGTGACAAACATTCCAAACATAGCACTAAACATGATGAATAATAAAATGTGGAGACTTTGAAAATCCGATTCCCTCTCCGCTCCTGGGTAGATTGCTGTTTCTGCTTGTAATTGTTGTTTGGTTGTTTGTTTCATTATTTTTCGTAACTAAATCTGCAATGTCTATATTATGTATCATGTGTAGCCACTGAAATCTCTGCTCATTTATCGTAGTAGTCAATGAGTAAACATATTTCCTTAAATGGCTTGAAACAATAAACCTCTCAGCCTTCGCTTAGGATCTGGGCTTCTATGCTGGGGCATTCCTGTGGTGCTGTTGGAGACAGTTTACATCTTTTCCTTAGTCTGCACTTCCTACTTGTGCAAAGCCTTAAGGTCAGTCCTAGGAGAGAAATTGGGGTCTTCCCAGGTATCTTATGAGCATACCCACAGCTCTGAACATGTGCATAGCCTTCTAGTTCCTGAGGAACACATTGCAGTTTTTCGAAGTACTCTATGGACCTCTCATTTTCCAGGTTTTCCTTCTAAGTGTTTTTGGCCAGCTTCCTGTTTGTACCAATTGTTGCAATACTAAAGGGTTCCTGCTGGTTGTTTTCTACAAATGCCCCAGGGAAAAGGTTTGTAGTGAGCTTTTTCTGAGTCACTTTATATAAAAACAAATCTTGTGAGTGGAAGTTGCCAGATATGTCAAATGATAATTCTCCTAAGAATGGTGTTTTTGGAGGAGATCCAAACCCAGTCTGCAGCCACCTGTGGCTCCGAGGCTGCTGGTTTTCGTGGCTGCCAAGATTGCAAGGCTGCTGGGTTTTAGGGCTATTATAGAGCCGGGGAAGAGAGGATGTGGCTACAATAGTCAAAGGACCACAAAACACTGCTCTTGCTGAAGTTCAACCATTTGTTCCTGAATAAATCCTTCTTCTTCTTCTTTTTTTTTTTTTTTTTTTGAGACAGAGTTTCACTCTTGTTGCCCAAGCTGCAGTGCAATGGCTCAATCTCAGCTCACTGCAACCTCTGCCTCCCAGGTTCAAGAGATTCTCCTGCCTCAGCCTCTGAGTAGCTGGGATTACAGGAGTCTGCCACCACACCCGGCTAATTTTTGTATTTTTAGTAGAGAAAGGGTTTTACCCTGTTGGCCAGGCTGGTCTCAAACTCCTGGCCTCAAGTGATCCACCCACCTCAGCCTCCCAAAGTGCTGGGATTATAGGCATGAACCACCATGCCCAGCCTATAAATGCTTCTTAGATTGTTGGAAGCCTTTGATTAATCTCCAAAGTCCTGAAAAAGTTGATAGTGCCAGTGTTCTCAGTGCTTTATGAAGGACAAATTTTTCAGTGGTCGTCTCTCTGTAACTCCAGGAGCAGTCTCCCCCATTATCTTAAAAACTGACAGAAGAGTCCCTAAAAATATGTATCTCTCATTGAGAAGAAGAAATTAGCTAACATTAGATTGATAGTAATAATTATTATTTTTTGCTGAAGATGAAATTTCCAAGTTTCTGTAAGATGGAAAAAATATTCAAAAGGCTATTGTCAAACTTACATGTTCTACAGAACTTTTAACATATCCAATTGTGGTACAAATTGTCTGGCGGGAATCAGGAATGGTCTGCTTACCGAAACCAGTCATATAAATCATTGACTCTATATATTCCAGGACAGATGTAAAGTGACAGTATTATAACATCATAAACTTGATGGCATATTTCCTTAGCTCTTGATGTAGAAGTAGTAAATCCAGGATGCATGCAATATAAATACATGCTTCCCTTCTTATTTTCTCTCTATATAATGCTCTGACAATTTATGTTATGTAAGTTTAAAATGCTCTTTTTTATGCCAAATTTTAGAAATAAACAGTTTCAAAAAATGACTCACTTTTACAAATAAACAAAAAGAACTGACATAACTACTAATCTGGAATTTTGTTTGTATCTTGAGATAATAAAAACAAAAATAAAGAACACCATGCCAATATCTGTGGAAGTTATTAAAATGTGAGTAAAATGTTATTTGTAATGGCTATATATACATACGTAATAACTATATATACATAAATACATATATGTGTATATATGTAATAACTATATATACATGTGTGTATATAGTATATATGGTATACATATGCATATATGTAATAACTATATATATGTGTATATACACACACACATATATATATATAGAGAGAGAGAGAGAGAGAGAGACAGAGAGAGACAGTCTTTTAAAAGTAAGTCAAGTGGGAGAGAAATATCTCAGTATGTCACTGCCCACTCCTTAAGGCTAACCTGGGAATCAAAAGGACTGTATCACAGTGCTGTTTGTGGCACTTACTATGCTCTTTGAGTTTTTGGGTGGGCCTCAGTTCCCTCATTTGTAAAACTGTGATGAAAGTATGATATTATTGTGAGAAATAAGGTACCATATAAATATTATGGATGATTATTGCTTAGTCAATTTTGGGGACAGGACGAAAGCTTAAAGGAGGCAGTAGAGACTCTTTGAGAAAGCTTTTCAAAAAGGCGAGAATTATTGAGCATGTGGCTTTAGAAGCAAAGCTTCTGTGGTAGAAATCTCAAATAGAACTTGCAGGTTAAACTGGTTGTTTCTCACTCTCCTTTCCATTCAAACATGTCTTTTAGTCCTATCTGAAAAATGTCATTATGGAACTGAGGTCACACCCCACCCTGCAGTTTCATCATGCATTTCCTTTTATCTTAGATAATTCTATGACATCCTTATCTTGTCAGGTTTTAATTAATCAGGGAGTCTTAGTGCTCATATAGCCTTTGTGTGTTTGTCTGATGTGAGATTTGAGAAAAATCCACAGGATCACAAGATTTCCCAAACCCTCAGGGATAAGATACAATCACCATGTGAAATATCAAAGGATACATTTCAAATTGGGAACGGAAATCACATCTCAAGTTTTATTTATCTCATTTATTCTCTAATAACCACTGTACATATCTGTCCACACTCCTTTTCTGAACATTACCTCCTTTAGCTGTTCAGAAAGGGGTCCTACTGCATATCTAGCATCTTTATTCTCTGAATACCACTGAGTGGACCTGGACATCTGACCCCAGTTGGGCGTGATGGATTCTCCAGCTGGAAATTTGGAATTGGGACACAGAGACTAGTTACTTAATTATCGGTGCTGGACATGGAAGGTGACCTAAGTGCCATAATAACTTACATGCAAATAAGAGCACAATCTGCAGAGGAGGAATGAAGGCAGAGGGAGAAAGAAGAGAGCGAGGTCGGGCACGGTGGCTCACACCTGTAATCCCAGCACTTTGGGAGGCCAAGGCGGGTGGATCACTTGAGGCCAGGAGTTCAAGACCAGCCTTGGCAACATAGCAAAACCCTGTTTGTACTAAAAATACAAAAATTAGCCAGGTGTGGTGGTGCACGCCTGTAGCCCCAGCTACTGGGGAGGCTGAGGCAGGAGAATTGCTTGAACCCTGGAGGCAGAGGTTGCAGTTAGCTGGGATCACACCACTGCACTCCAGCCTGGGTGACAAAGTGAGGTTCTGTCTCAAAAAAAAGAAAAAAGAAAAAGAAAGAAAAAGAGTAATACACATCCCTTTGTAAATAAAGTTCAATATAACTGATCATAAATCAGACACTAAAAGTAAAATCATACAAATTGATACTTAAAAATACTCTTATTTTTCTTTTTATTTCATCAGCAGCAGTGATAGGCATAAATTTAAATCAGAACTTCTATGCAGTTTTCATGTGAGCTAATGCCTTTGTTCTACATTAGATCCTTGTGTCACAATCAATGACACAATTGAACTTCAATTCAAGATGCAACTGGAATTCCTGGAAAAGAAATGTCCTCCCGTGCTGAGTAATCTCTAGACCTCTTTTGGGTGGAATTCTGCAGATAGCTGGGGATAGGACTTTAGCCAACTTCGTGATCACAGTGGAAGGTAAACAGAAGCACTGTCGAGGGGAGTGGGTGGTCCCGGAAGTAAAGAAAGGGCATCTAGCAGCAAGAGAGAATGAAGGGAGGAGAGCCACATGGATAGTGTACTGAACATTCATGGATTTATTGTTGTTGGAGTACTTCTTGTCTGGTTTACTTTTCTTTTATTGTTGTCCTCAAGTCTTTCTCACCAGGTAAATGGACAGACACAACACTGAGTATAGGATACATCACAGATATTCACTCATTTAAATTCATTTTAAAACTGAAATTTCACAGGAGCAAAGTTTGCCCTGCCAGACTACATGCTTTGTGTCAACTGATTCATGGAAGATGAGTAGAAGGGCAGGGTATTTTTTTTTTTTTTAATGCTTGAATTCATCCGTGAGTTAAAAATAGAGCAAAGTATTACATGGCCAGAAATCAGATTTATTAGAAAGCTACAGCAATTGAAACCTTTGAGCACTGATCCAAGAACAGACAACTAGAAGAAAGAAACAATAAGGTCCAGAATGAGGCCCACACAGGTAGGGTCTTCTGACTTCCTGCAACTATGCAGTTCCATGTAGTCGAAAAGTAGTCTTTTGTTTTTCAATTGGGGTACAGTGTAATTTATACTTAGTAAAATGTACGAATCTTAATATGCATCTAATTAATGTTTACCTGTATATACACCTGTGTAACTATCATTCAGCTCAAGATAAAAGGAAATCTCCATCATCCCAGGAAGTTCCCTCCTGGTCCTTCCCCGCAGGTATCCCCAGGGACAACCCGTTATTCTGAAGAAATCCACCATCAATGATAATAGTTTTGCCTACACTGGAATTTCATTTAAAGAGAAAAATGCAGCATGTCCTCTTTGGGGTGTCTGGCCTCTTTCAGTCTTGTGTTTGTGAAATCTATCCATATTGTTCTGTGTAGCAATGGTTTGTCTTCCTCTTTTGGCTGTGTAGGATTCCATTATATAAGTATACCATACTTTGTGCATCCAATTCCCCATTGGTAGACATTTGTGTTGTTTCTATTTTTTGTCTATTCTAAATAAAGCTGCTATTAACATTCTTGCACAAGTCTTTTTGTAAAATCATGCAATCATTTGTATAGACACATTCTTAGAGGTGGAATTGCTGGAACATAGGCATAAATTAAAATGTATTAGAAACTGCCAAACAGCTTTCCAAAGTGGCCATATTGTCTTATACTCCCACCAGCAATACAAGAGAATTTCAGCTGCTACACGTTCACAGCAATGCTATCGTCCATGGATTATTGATTATTTAATGAAACCATACTTATTTTTTAAATTCGAACAATTGAAAAAACCACTCTGTGTCTTTAACATGCAGTTAAATATTTTGTGATACATTTTAGCAGTGGTTTCTCTTCTGATTTTTAGAAGTTCTGCATCAGTTGCATATGGTTGTTCCTCCTTTATGTGGTTAACATAGAAAATCACATTAGTTTTCAACTGTTAAATCAACCTTTCATTCCAAGGATCCTGGCAGTGTTCTACTTTGTTTCCTCAGTGGTGGTTATATGATATTCACTTTCTGGTAAATCATAGTTACACATTTTTGGTGAATTTTTGATGTGTTTTATTTATACCAAGTGAATATAAAATTTTTTGCTATATTACTGTTAAAATAATGAGTACTAACATTTTAGTAAGTAACTGCTTACTAAGTAATATCATTTTTTGGTAAATTGACCTACAATAACTAATATATTTTGCTTACCATGAAAAAAGCCATGATCCACCCTATCGAAATCCCCAAAACTTTTTTTTTTTGCAGAAATTAAAAAGCTGACCCTAAAATTCATATGAGATTGCAAGGGAAGCTGAATAACCAAAACAATCTTGAAAAAGACAAACAGAGTTAAGGACTTACTTGTCATGATTTCAAAACTTATTGTAAAGCTACATTAATGAAAACAGTGTGGTACTGAAATAGAATAAACCTATAGACCAATGAAATGGAATCAGGAATTCAGAACTGATACACCCATACATCAATGTTCAACAGATTTTCAACAAGGGTTCCAAGATCATTCAATGAGGAAGGAAGTGTGTCTTCAACAAGTGGTGCTGGGACAACTGGATATCCACATGCAAAATAATGAAGGTGGGATGTTACCTCACAACATATATAAAACTAATAACTCAAAGAGGATGAAGGACATAAATATAACACCTTAAACTCTAATACTCTGTTTTTAGTTTGTTTGTTTTTTGAAACGGAGTTTCACTCTTGTTGCCCAGGCTGGAGTGCAATGGTGCGATCTCAGCTCACTGCAACCTCTGCCTCCCGGGTTCAAGAGATTCTCCTGCCTCAGCCTCCTGAGTAGCTGGGACTACAGAAATGTGCCACCACACCCGGCTAATTTTGTATTTTTAGTAGAGACGGGGTTTCTCCATGTTGGTCAGGCTGGTCTCGAACTCCCGACCTCAGGTGATCCACCCACCTCAGCCTCCCAAAGTGCTGGGATTATAGGTGTAAGCCATGGCACCTGGCCAACTCTAATACTCTTAGAAGGAAATCCTCATGGCCTTGAGTTTGGTAATTATTTCTCAGATATGATACCAACAACACAAGCACAAAAGAACAAAAATGTATAAATTGGACTTCATCAAAACTTTTTAAAAAATGTGCATTAAAGGACATTATCAAAAGAATGTTAAAAACCCACAGAATGAGATAAAATATTTGCAAAGCATATATTTGATAGAGGTCTAGTATATAAAATGTGTATACCAAGAACTCTTAGAACTGCAGAACAAAAAGTCAAACAAAAATAGACAAAATACTTTTCTCTAAAGAAGAGATAAAAACGACCAACAAGACATGAAAGATGCTTGGGAAATGGGATGATTATAATAAATAAATTTTTTAAAGGAACATTAAGTGTTGGTGAGGATGTGAAGAAATTGGAACCTTCTTATATTGCAGGAGAGAATGTAAAATGGTTTCGCCACTGTAGAAAACAGTTTAGTAGTTATTAAAAACATTAAACATGCAATTACATATGAATAAGAAATCCCACTTTTGGCTATAAACTGAAAATAATTAAAAACTGGCAGTCAACAATGAGATGCCATCTCACACCACTCAGTATGGCTATTATTAAAAAGTCAAAAAATATCAGGTGCTAGTGAGGTTGGGGAGAAAAAGGAACATTTTCATTGCAGCACTATTCACAATAGCAAAGATATAGATTCAACCTAAATGCTCATCAATGGTAGAATAGTTTGAGAAAATATGGTACATGTACACCATGAAATACTATGTGGCCATAAAAATGGATGAGATTGTATCCTTTGCAGGGACATGGATGGAGCTGAAGGCCATTATTCTTAGCAAACTAACACAGGAACAGAAAACCAAATACCACATATTCTCACTTATAACTGGGAGCTAAATGATGAGAACACATGGACACATAGTGGGGAAAAACAGACACTGGGGCCAACTGGAGGGTGAAAGGTGGCAAGAGGGACAGAATCAAAAAAACAGCTACTAGGTACTAGGCTTTATACCTGGATGGTGAAATAATCTGTATAACAAACTCCCATGACATGAGTTCACCTATATAACAAACCTGAACATGGACCACTGAACTTAAAAGTTAAGAAAACCAGGTAGTCCAACAAAGACTTACATTTATAGAAGCCCTATCAACAGCAGCCCAAAGTGGAAACAAACCAAATTCTCATGAACTGATCAATGCATCAACCAAGTTTTTTATATCTATGCAATGGAATGTTATTATAAGAAAACAATGAAGTACCAATGCAGGCTCCAACATGAATGAACCTTAAAAATATGCTGAGTGAAATAAGCCAGATACAAAGGTTATATATGGTGTAATTTCTCTTACATAAAATATCAAAAGTAGGGAAATTCACAGAGACAGGAAGCAGATCAGTGGTTGTCAAAAGCTAGAGGAAGTGGGGAGATGAAAAATGACTAATTAATGGGCACAATATTTCTACTTGGGGCTATGAAAATGTCCTGGGGCCAGATAGTGGTGATGGACGCACAACATTCTCCATGTAGTAATGCCACTGAATTATACACTTCAAAATGGTCAAAATGATGAGTTTTATGTTAGGTGTCTTTTACCACCATAAAGAGCCACAATTCCCTGACAATGGTGTTCTTAAACTTTATAAACTTCTTAAGTCATATATTATTTATTATCATTGTAATTTATAAGACTATCTGTATAGAAAATCTAGTGTTAAATAATTTTATTTGCATAAATCCTGTTCATGTTTTTCAGTAATTCTGAGGTATAAAGACAGCAACTTTGGGGATAATTAAGCCTTCTTATCTGTATAATATTCATCTGGAATTTTTTTCTGACATGCAAGATATATGTACATGTAGTCGTGAGAGTGGCTTTAAGTTCATTGTTATGGTTTCTGATCACCTTAGAATGACTCCATGGAGACGGAGCTAGTTCAAGTCCCATCCACAGTGTGGACATCAGCTTTTAACGGTCTCTACTCAGAGTCAGATAAGTCACATGCTCAGAAGTTGACAATTTACCCAGTTATTTCCCAGGTTCCTAGTTCAATCACTACCCTTCTTTTTGTACTTCATTAATAAGCACATTTTTCTTTTAACCCTCAGACATATGCCCCATTAAGCATTCATAACTGTTGTCCCCAGAGAAGCTCATGTAGAAAGATATGCGCCGTGTGACACATTAAGGAAGAGAGATAAATGCTGGCCCTTAGGACATTATCAATTCCAATCGCAACGTTTGCCAGAGGCTTCAGGATTTGACAAAACTGCCAAAGCCTACTCCTTCCCAGGCTGCTCAAGACCACGGAAGCTGCAGGAGCAATCTATCTGTCAGAGTTAGGCCTTCACAGGAGAGAACTGCCCCACAAAGGCAAAATCAACAGTATTTGATGTCCTCGCATGAAGAGCATTTTATTTTAATTTACTCACTTTCAGTTTTTACCTGAAACATTTCTTAAAATCCCATTTTGTGTGAACCAGCTAGGTTATACTGATGAATACCAAATACCTCAGTCAGTTTCAAAAGTGCTGAGGACATTTCTGTTTCATGAAAAATCAAGGAAATAGAAAGCTCACATGATGAAGATCATTCTTTAAGGAGCAAGTGCTGGCTCAAGAGCAGTATTTTCCTGGTGCCCAAGTTTGATTAGCTTAAATATACTGAAGATTTTCATTTGATTCATGATGTCTTTTTCTAAAGTTCATTATTAAATGTAAACAGTAAGTCAAAAACTTTAGAGGGAATGAGTCAGACTTTAGGAAGATTTCAAAATATTGTTATTGGAAGTGATGTCTTTCAGTCAACTTAGGGACAGTAAAAATGCATCTGCTTTGTTGGGAAAGGGGGCGCTTCCTGTGTTGTCACTGAGTTGTGACCTCTAAACCAAGGACTTGCCCCATATAGAGAATTGTTTCCTAAAGATTCAGAAATATGACCATTTTAATAGTCCCAGCTATTTTCCCGGCTTACCTCTGTTCATCAAATATATCATCAACTTAGTTTGGACTGCAAAAGTCACCTTGCTTTAAACCCAAAAGAATTGGTTGAGCTAGAAATCAGAGTGACTAAGAAAGTGACAAGTATTACTGAATAAGTACATCCTGTATCCCCTTGAATTCAGACGAAGTGAATCCTTATTTTACAAATCAACATGAGAGGCTGAGGCGGGAGGCTCGCTTGAGCCCAGGAGTTCAAGGTGGCAGTAAGCTATGATCCGTAACTGTACTCCAGGCTGGGCAGGACAGTGAGACCCTGTCTCTAAAGAAAACAACAAAACAAAACATAAAAGCAAGTAAACAGTACATTTGTGCTAGGAAATAATTGTTTCTAGTACAAATATCTCACTCTTTCTCTCTCTCTTTCTCCTCTTAATATTTCTCTCTCTCTATCTCTCTCTCTCACAAACACACACACAGACACACACCCCTACACCTCTAATTTATCTACAGGACTCAGATGACCCTGGTTTTCTGGGTTTCCTTCCGTTATTTAAAATACAATCTAATAGGCAAAAACCTGGCAGATTGCTCACAAATAAATCCTTTGTGTAAAGAATAAGTGAAGTAAATGAAGTGGCACCGAGACACTTTCATGAGCCTCATACTTACTTAGGCTACATAAGCATATATTCCATTCAATAAAAAAACAGACCTTTGGGCAATGCCTTGCAACTGTACATGCTGTGAAGATTTGAGGCTGATTCTAACTGGGACACATGAAAGAGCAAATTGAAAAGCCCATATCAATAATAATTTGTTAATCTCTTGCTGTGTTAAAATTAATCAAAACCTACATCTACCATAAGAATCATAATTTTTAAAACAGGAGAGAATGGTGACTCAGAACATGAAGAAGCTTAGTTACATCACAGTTAGGTATGATCCTTAGCAATCTGAGGAATTAATATACTTGAACTGAAACTCTTCCCCTACCCGCCACCTCCACAAATTTCATACCTTTTGGAATGTGTCTTGTGGGGCTATGATACTATTTTTAAAATAGTATTTTATTTTAGAAACAAAATAATTACAAGAAAAGTCTTATACTTTTTTCAGTAACATTGTCTATTATCAATATTTGTCATTGACACACAAGTGGAATGAGGTGACATTTGGCCACACTGATGTTTATTACCCAAAAAAGTGCTGGAGACAAATGGTTGCATAAATATTAGATTCACTGCCAACTTTAAAACAGAAATTTAAGTAAAATAAATAAATGGCATTTATTCAATTTTATTTAGGAAGATTTTGCCCTTCTGGAAGTCAGTTAGACATCTATATTTAAAAGTCCTTTTCATGTTAAACTTATGAATACAGCTGCAACTTAATTAAGGCCATAGCATGACAGAAAATGTTGTTCCCAATGTTTCTGCTCCAAAGCACCCCCATAGCTCGTGGTGGCAGCACGACGTTGAGTACCGCAAGACCAAGGAGACTTCAAAAAATTCCATAAAGGAGGGAATGGGTACTTTGGAAAAAACTTGTAAGAAATTCTTATATTACATATTCCCCTTCCCTATTTGAGTAATCAAAAAATATCACCACAAATTCATTTATTTTTTCCAAATTAGTCCTTTAGCCTGCTCCATTTGTGAACTAACCCCATCTCACTTTTCCTGTATTGTAAATTCTTTATCATATATTCAGGTCTAATAAACACCATTTCATAATAATTACTTAAACAATGTTCACAATTTTTACCCATCTAGTTTATCATTATTTTATATACTTGTGTGCTACATTTAAAGCTTAGCTCCAGGAATCATGAAAGGTTTCATTTTTGTGCTTAGCTAGAACCTTGAATTTTCAAATAATCAAAAAACCTTTTTAGATTATAATCACCTACCCAAGCTTATGTAAAAAGGAATTTATAATAAAAATGTATCCATGGTTTCTATATGTGTAAAAAATGTTTAAGCACCAAAGTAAGAAGACGATAATGATTTTGATTTTGATTAGATCAAGAAGACTTAACTTTGAAACGTTTAATGCACTGGAAGCTGTAGTCTAGACCACAGCTGACAGTTAGGATAGGCAACTGACTAGAAGAGTAAGGAATTAAAGAGTGAGTGGAAAGAAAACAGGCAAGCAACATCCCCACAGAATTAAAGGACCGAGATGATATCAGGGAAGCAATGAGATATAGAGATAGAGGAAGATGTACAATAGTGGGACAGGTGAGCCAAGTGATAGGATCACCAGATAGAGCTTCCATGGAGGAGAGGAAGTAATGGGTACTCCACCCGCAAAGCCAACCACAGATGACAAAGGACAATGATGGAAGAAATCTTCGAAGATAAAACCTCCTAGCACAAAAGCCCAATGGTGGTATTTCAGAGCATAATTGAAAGAGAGAGAGAGAATGTGTGTGTGTGTGTGTGCGTGTGTGCATATGTGAGTGTGTGTCCATGAGTGTGTCAGAGAGAGAGGGAGGGGGAGAGGCATGCAGTGTTTTGTGCTCATATGATCATCTTAATTTCACTGATTACAATCACTACTGATTATCAAAGCAATCAGTTCAAGTTCTTTAATTAGAAAATTGGTGTGATTACACAGAACAAAGTTTAGGGAACACATGCAGAACAAAATTTATGTAGAACAAAAGGTGATTATATTCTATCATACAGATTAGCTAATTGGTTCAATAGATTTTATATGTTAAGGAGATCCTTGGCATACATGTGTAATAGTCTAGTCTTACCTATCTTGCCTATAATTTAAAATATTTTCAAATTTTCCTTTTTCTTCCCAAAGAGTTTTTGTTTAATCTTCTAACTTGATCACACATAGTATCTTGTAATTGTTACTTTCAATAGAACTTTTTCCTTTAGTTTTATAATACAGATCTAAAATAGTAAAAAGGTGATTCTGAATCAACATCAAAATAACTGTTTATTTAAAGTATGTTGGTATAAGAAGACTATGACCATAGCCCCGGTTAAAAATAGCATGGATAATAGATAATAGTTGTAAATCCTTTGTGGTAAACTGTGTCAATTATCTAATTTGAATTTTCCAAATTACATATACCCATTAAAATAAAAATGGAAAATAATGCAGTGCATACATGCACAATTTTGTCCACTGGAAATGGTTTCTGTTGGGTAATGGAACTTTCTTTCAAAGTTTATATGCTAAGCATTTTTTAATTTATTTTTATTTTATTGACAGGGTCTCTGTGGCCCAGCCTGGAGGGTAGTGCTCACTGCAGCCTCCAACTCCCGGACTCAAGAGATCCTCCCACCTCAGCTTCCCCAGTAGCTGGGACTACAGGTGTGTACCACCACCCATGGCTGCTTAGAAAAAAGTTGTAGACACGGGGTTTCACTATGTTGACCAGGCTGGTCCGGAACTCCTGGTCTCAAACAATCCTCCCACCTCAGCCTTCTAAAGTGCTGGGACTGCAGGCATGAGCTATCGCACCTATACTCTAACCATTTTATAATAAGTTAAAATGCTGTGAATCATACTTAATTCACTTAAATCTGAAGGATCTTTTAAAAACTATTTAGCAATTAAGGACAGTTGACATAAAATGAATTTAAAGAACTTTAATTATAAAGAAGGCTTTAGATTCATAAAACCATGTCTGAGGCTTCACTTTTCAAGTTCCAGTTACTTGATGTCAGCCACAGTTTGAAAATATTAAATGCGGCCGGGCGCGGTGGCTCACGCCTGTAATCCCAGCACTTTGGGAGGCCGAGGCGAGCGGATCACGAGGTCAGGAGATTGAGACCATCCTGGCTAACACGATGAAACCCTGTCTCTACTAAAAATACAAAAAAAAAAAGTTAGCCGGGCGTGGTGGCGGGCGCCTGTAGTCCTAGCTACTCGGGAGGCTGAGGCAGGAGAATGGCGTGAACCCGGGAGGCGGAGCTTGCAGTGAGCCGAGATCGCGCCACTGCACTCCAGCCTGGGCGACAGAGGGAGACTCCGTCTCAAAAAAAAAAAAAAAAAAAAAAAAAAAAAAAAAAAAGAAAATATTAAATGAAATCTTCCAGAAATAAACAATTTATAAGTTTTCGATTCTGTGTCATTCTGAGTAGCATGATGATATCTTGCGCCATCCAGAGCAGCTCCCCTCTGTCCCTTCTGGGATGGGAATTGCTCCTTTGTCCACACTCTGCAGTATCTACCCATTAGTCAATGAGGAGCCATCGCGACAATCAGATCGACTGTCGTTGTATCTCAGTGCTTGTGTTAGGAGTACGTGCAAGACGTGTACCCTAAAACTTAAAGTATAATAATAATAACATAAAAAAAAGAGTACGTGCAAGACGTGTACCCTAAAACTTAAAGTATAATAATAATAAAATAAAAAAAAGAGTACGTGCAAGAGTAGTGATGCTGGCAATTCAACTATGCCAAAGAGAAGCTGTAAAGCGCTTCCTTTAAGTGAAAAGGTGAGACTTCTCGACTACAGGAAAGGAAAAAACCCATATGCTGAGAGGTTGCTGAGACCAACAATGGAAATGAATCTTCTATCTGTGAAAATGCAAAGAAGGAAAAAGAAATTCATTCTAGTTTTGCGGTTACATTTCAACCAGCAAAAGTTAATAGCGACAATGTGTAATAAATGCTTAGTCAAGATAGAAAAGGCATTACATTTGTGGGTCAAAGACATGAACAGAAATGTGTTTTGACTGACGGTGATCAGGTCGGTGCTGTCCTCGCTTTCAGGCATCCACTGGGGGTTTGGAATGTATGTTCCTCAGATAAGAGGGGACAACTGTGAAGTTCTTTTCCACCAGGCTTCAGTCACAGAGAAGACAGACTAGTGCAGGAGGTGGACACACACGCGCGTGCCCCTCCTCGGGGTCCTACCTCCTGGTGTTCATGTTCTTCTATGATCCCTTCCCCTTGAGTGCTAGCAGAACTTGTGACCTATTTCTAACCAACAAAACATAGCAAAGGTAGTGGGACGTCGGTCCCAGGACGCCGTCTTGCTGGCAGACTCACACTGGAGCCTCTCTGTTAGTGTCTGGCCTTGTAATCAGCCACCCTGCAGGGCCCGGGATGCAGGGAGCTGAGGGTGGCCTATGGCCAGCAGGAAGCCAGAGCCCTCAGTCCTGAACCAAGGAGAAAAGGATTCTGTCATCAACCTAGTCAGTTTAGAAGTGGATTCTTCTCCCGTGATGCCTCCGAAGTGAGAACACAGCCACCCCAACACCTTCACTGCAGCCTTTTGAGACCTTCAGCACAGGGCTCAGCTAAGCCACCGCCAGACTCTGGACCCATGAGAACTGAGATGATAATTGTGCATTTTAAGGCACATGCTAAGTTACTATAGGACAATAGAAAACTAAGCTAGCCTAAAGCAATTCATAAAAACAAGTATATAAATCAAGAAAAAAATACTGTCATAATTTTTGAGAATCTGTGGGGTAATTTTTTACTGACTATATCTGGAGGAAAAGGGAGAGAATGAGAAAGGAGAGTAGAGAGGTTTTTGGAAAGCTTTAGTTATAGACATTTTATTTACAGGGCATTCAGAGCAGAGGTTGAGAGGATTGAAGAAAGCCTTTTGAGTGGAACTAATATTATTAAGAAAGCCATAGAACAAGAAAAGGCAAGATACATTTGAAGAACTACAGAGAGAGGAACTAGAGCAGGAGCATTCATTGTAGTAAAATCAGAAAGGATGAAAACTATGGTAAAGTCAATTTACAAAAATCTTGAAACTAAGCAACATAGAAAGCATTCTTTATCTTGCTGGGAAAAGGAAGACAGATAGAATGAGAATAATATGGTAAAAAGGATATTTCTTAAAACAGTGTTAATATACTGCTGGGTGTGACAGATTGGAAAAAGGAAACTTTAAAGGTAGAAACACCAGGTAGAGGATTATTACAATCATCTAAGAATAGCCCAACTTGGTGAAAACTCTGGTCTGCCCAACTCAATCAGTCCTGAATAAGTATTGTTCAAACATAAACATTAAGTCAATATAGTTGTGACTGTCATTATTTAATCAAGTTTTCATTGAGATTCATTAAGTTCAGACTTCGAAATGAAGACATTAATTAGAAGACTCAATGAGATAGTGTATATTCTGAAAGAATAATCTCCACTAAACAGAAGCTGATGAAAAAGAAAAGACCTTGGCTAAAAACTCAGTCATTCATATGCAAGCCCTTCCCATTCTTAAGTAGGAAATGAGTTGGGCAGTTAAGATGAAAAAATGGAAATAACGTGCAAAAGAAAATAGCAGGAATTTTAATTTTGTGCAAAGGACAATAAAGAAAAGAAAGAAAAGGTGAGAAAAGAATAAAGGATGGCTGTTCAGTTGTTGATGGTTGCAGCTCCCAAACCCTCCCACTGAAGTCCAAAGGATTCACAAATCTTGTACAAGTGCATT
This sequence comes from Homo sapiens, assembly GCF_000001405.40. Taxonomy (NCBI): domain Eukaryota; kingdom Metazoa; phylum Chordata; class Mammalia; order Primates; family Hominidae; genus Homo; species Homo sapiens. The sequence continues at coordinate 86,007 of NW_013171811.1, read as the reverse complement.
TTTGTTTTGTTTTGCATGGTATCCACCTTCTGAATCACTGAGTTCGACCTTCATGGTAAACAGAATTTGAGAGTATCTGGTGGAAGGCATTGGGCTTACTTATGTGAGAAATGAGGAATTTTATACAATAAGTGGGAAAAGTAGTGGGACATCAGATGAGAGCTGGTTCATATATACATTTGGCAAAATAACTTAGGTACATATACAACTCATTATATTATACAAAAAGCAAGTGACATGCTACAGTTCCCACTACAAATTGTTAGATGTAGAATCTTGTTTTGAATACTATTTTTATAACATATCATTCCTTGATTAATCGATTATTTTCTGCTGGAAATGAAACAACTAGAAAAATGTAGGCTGTGGTGGAGTTTAAAAGTCTGGTTTGGTATTGTTTGAGCTTTTCGGCTTTAACTTCTTTGCTGCTATTTTTTTTTTTATCTTTTATATTTCAGAGACTCTGTATTTGTACATTCATTACCTTTCTACAAAATGGCAGTTAATAAAATTAGGCAAGGAAATAGATTATTTGTCTGAGTTCAGCATAGCTAAGTTTTGACAATGAAAGTTAATTGAATTCTTACTAAATATGATAATTGCAAAGATAATAAAAATCTCTATTATTCACTTAGAAATCCTTATGGGTCACTCAAGTAAAATGATTTAACTATTATAATACAATATCATAATAAAGTGGGTTCCTTTACAATTATTAGTTTAATTAGCAAGTATGATTAAAAATGTCTGTATATGTATTTAAAGGCAAACATGGACATAGATAACTAAATGTACAGTTATTTAATGTAGCTAAATAATTATACTATTTAATGTATTTTAATGTCCACAATGCATTTTTGAAGGTTCTTTGTGATAAAAATAATGGTATATTAAAAAATTGGAAAATTCAAAATACAAACTATTTCTTAGGATTAGCAGATTTGAAATGCATTTGAACTACGAAAATAAAATTCAATTTGAAAAGCAAATTGTTGTCATATCAACACGATTATCAACTAAAGTTTTAAAATTGTCACAGTATTTTACAGCAATAGTTTAATCATCTCTTCTTCCTTGTAATAATTATAATTTGTATTAAACATAAAGACAATACATACTTACAGTGATCCCTTGACAGTTTATTCATAAGAAAGCTACCATTTAACAATTATTTAGCTGTTGTCAAATCTTTATAACAAGCTCATGAGCCAGTACTAACTCCACTTGGTTAGTAAGGAAACCGAGGCTCAAAGACATTAACTTGACTTGCATCATGCCATTAGGGTACATAAAAACACTGTGTGACATTTGTAACTCACACATCACTGCTTCCAAAATTGACGGTCTTTCTAAAATATATTTTCATGAAGCACTTTAATAAATTTATACAACTGTGTATTCTTTAACCCATGGCCCTTCAAATGCCCACCTGCACAAAAAGTTCAGGAGAAAAGAAGGAAGAATTCACAGGAAGTCTGTTTTCTGCCTAAATTAACGCCTACTTTGGCACTGAAAATAACATCTATTTATGAAGAAACCTATGGGAAGTCTGTTCCTGACAGACTCAGGAATTGTGGAGCAGCTCTAGCTCAACCTGCAGTTCCAGTGCAAGCATGTAATCATTTGAGTATAAAGAACCTGGAGAATAGGGTGGCGATAATAGCGGGTGAAATTTTAAAGATGAACTAATTCAGTTATGTACAAAATAATAAAATAATAATGAGAATTGTAACTTCTAGTTTTAAAGCCTCAAATTCGTATTCATATGATCTACCACATCGGTACTATTCCTACCGATGAGAAAGTTTAGAAAGTTTAGTTAACGTTTCCGACTTGTTCATGACCTCCTAGGGCATCCTGTTTTCTATGTGTAAATCTGTTTCCTTGCATGGAGCTACATTCTGTTTCTCTTGTAATTTTTTACATGGGAAAAAAAATTACAAGGCCCTTGTAATTAAGGCCCTTGTAATTAGGGTCTTGTAATTTCCTATTTTTTTACAAGAGAAAGAATTACAAAGGCCTTCTTTTACCCAGCTCCAATACTGAACAAACTAAGTCACAATAAGAAGAATAAGCTCTAAGAGTAAACTCTACATGGCAAATGCTTCAGATACTCAAAGTTATTTTGCTTTGAGCTTTTCTCTTCTTTGAGTGAAAAACCTATAGTCACTCTGCCTCTTCCTCACGTAATATGGTTTTAGGCTCCTCATCGTTCTCACAGTCCAAATATCCTTTGTCCTAGAATCTCCTTTCTATAGCTAGATGCACCAAGGCTCTCAAATTATATTTTATTATCCCAGTCCTTCTGCCTCCCTCGTTTTAGATAATGTACTTCTACCAATGCAAACTTTGGATTTATTTATTGGGAAAGGGTAGCACTAATATTACACTGTTCCCAAAAAATCACACTTTATAAATTATTTAACTAATCAGTATTTTGGAATTTACATTCGCCCTTGTTCATTTTTCTATTGTGGGTTAAGTGCGTTGTTCAAATACATCAAGTTCTTTTTAGATTCTCCTTCTACATTCAATGTGTTTTCCACTTCTTCCAGCTACAGACTTAGAAAATGTATATAGCCCAGAAATGAGTGGTTTAAAATGAATGCAGAGCAGAACCCAGGAAGCTACAGGAATTTTGAATCTTAAAGTAAAATTTGTGCAACTATGAGAGGCTGTGATTTTTCTGCAGTTGGTAGATCAGCTCTGGAGGGAGAAGTGACAAGCCTGGTCTGGTTTAAGGTGAAGAAAACATCAGCCTGGAACACACAGGAGGGACTGTGTGATTATAATTATGTAGGATACTGAAAATCACAAGGCCAGAACCAGGGGCTTATCCATACCACTTCTGCCAATGTTATTTATCAAACCCCTGGCGAGAAGACACTGCACTGCAATTAGTCTACTAATCTACAGAGAAGTGAGATTTATATTCTAATTATACTTTGCTATGCATATATTTATGCTTAACATAAATCCATATTTAATAACTGCATAATCTTCTTCCATTGTGTGGAATCAGTCATTATATGTGAATCCTTGTTATCTGAAAACAATGCAAAGTTATATAGCTCCCTTTTAAATTTTAGAATAGGCAGCCAAACCAAAGCAGAACCATTTGAACTTGATAATTATTCTTGACCATGGTGGAATCGTAGGGGACTGATGGGGTAAGCAGCCGTTGTTCCAGGACCCTGTCAAGCCTGGGCTGCTGCTGTTGGCTGTACCACCCATGACCCATGCCTTCCCCTGCCTTCACAGCAAATAAACTACTTTCCAGGAAGCATTTCACTCCCCAGTTACACACCACCCCTCTTCCCACTGCTGCGGCATTGTCCTCAGGCCGCTGAACATCCAGATCGACCAGGAAAATTGTTGTCTTTTCTCTTCGTCATGATTTCCAGCACCAATTTTGTAACATTTCAGGAAGTTAGAACTTCCTATGAGTAAAAATAAAAAATTTAGGGAATTATTTTGGTTCAGACATTCGCTCCTCTGGTTTAAGCCCTCAACTAGTTTTAGGAACGATCATTGCCTGTCTCTTTTTGTGACTCTGAATCAGAGTATTCAGAGCTGACGTGTGATCACCTCCATATCCCCTGGCTGGGACCCTGACCCTGTTCTGGCCTGGTGTCATCACAGCTTCCTTCGCTGGATGTGCCGATTGCAGTTCCTGCCCTTATATTCCTACCTGGATCTCAGTTCTCAGTGTAAATATTACAGGCCTTTGTCTTTAAAATACTTAGATATTTTAATACGTGTGATATCTTTAAAGTATTTTTAAAATATGACAAAAAGGATTGCACTGCACATGGAAAGGCCTACTTAAATCTCCTGTAGCAAAAAGTCTGAGTGGCCCAGGCCCCAGCTGCTGTGCGAATCACACATTGACCACACATCACCAGCTGCTCCCAGCCCACTCGACTGAGTATGACAGGGATGCTCATCAAGGCGGCTCCACTCCTGCCAGGTGTGGGATCCTCCCATAGCCAACTCTGCCTGGATGAGGACTACCCCTCAGCCTACTGGAGAATTCTTAGAGCTCTGCTACGTCCTGAAACATTTCCTACCAGGTCTGCTGCTTTCTTCTCTCCTGCTCTGGGTCTATGGGCTGACCTGTGTCTCCCAAAATTCCTGCACTGAAGCAACTTCAGAAAGTGACCGTTTATTCAAAGAGAAGGTCTTTAAGGAGGTTCATGAAAATTCACTGAGGTCATTAGGGTGGGCTCTAATCCAATCAATATACCTGGTGCCCTCACAAATAAGGAGGTTAGGACCCAGACACACAAGGACAGAGGATGAACATGTGAAGACAGAGTGAGAAGACCACTGCCTGTAAGCCAAGGACACAGGTCTCAGAAGAAACCAAACTTCCTGACATGGCACCTAGATCTTGGACTTCTTGCCTTCAGAACTGTTAGAAAATAAATGCCTGCTGTATAAGCTGCCCAGGCTGTGGTATTTTGTGATAGCAGTCTGGGCAGCCATATAGACCGTCAGCAGGATCACACCAGAACGGGATATTTGAAGGCCCTCCCAGCCTCATCTGGGACCTTCCTTGTATAACAAGAACAAACAACTGGTTTTCCTTCTACTACACCTGAAACACTCAACACAAACACTTCTGTGATCACATGCGTAGGTGTTGTGTCCACACCAAGCAATCAGCCAGTGGACACCAGCAATTCCATTCAATTTAACACAGGTAAATACACAGGTAAGGGCTCAGTCCCACAAGACTCCTCCCATTTCAGATGCCAGTTCTGAGCCCCAGGTTGTAGCCAGTACTTCTGACCAACCAGCTACAAATTGGGGTTCTCGGCTGGGTGCAGTGGCTCACACCTGTAATCCCAGCACTTTGGGAGGCCGAGGCAGGTGGATCATGAGGTCAAGAGATCGAAACCATCCTGGCCTGCATGGTGAAACCCCATCTCTACTAAAAATACAAAAATTAGCTGGGCATGGTGGCATGCGCCTGTAGTCCCAGCTACTCAGGAGGCTGAGGCAGGAGAATGGCTTGAACCCGGAAGGTGGAGGTTGCAGTGAGCCGAGATCGTGTCACTGCACTCCAGCCTGGCAACAGACCGAGACTCTATCTCAAAAAAAAAAAAAAAATTGGGGTGGTTCCCATGACCCTCTTCTTGGGTTCAATAATTTGTTAGGACAACTCCCAGAACTCAGGGAAACACTTGACTTACGTTTACCATTTACTATAAAGGGTACTAAAACACAGAGTGATGAACAGCTGGCAAAGAGGCACATAAGGCGGGTCTGGGGCCAGGCATGGAGCTTCCAGGCTCACCAGGCGGCCCTCACAGCTCCCCAGTGTGTTCAGTAATCCGGGAACTCTCTAAACCCCATAGTTCAGAGGTTTTTATGGAGTCTTCGTTACATAGGCATGTTCGCTTATTAACTCAACATCCAACTTCTCTTCCTCCTCCAAAGTTTAGGGGTTGGGGCTGAGAATTCCAAGCTCATAATCATGGCTGGGTGACCAACCCCCAGCCAGAAGCCACCAGGGGCTCCCTTATTAGAACAAAACATGTCCCTATCACCCAGGAAATTCCAAGGGATTAGGAGCTCTGCCTCAGATAGGAACTCTGTGTCAGAAACTAAGGTCAGAGATCAAATATATATACAGATCCACAGATCCACAAATAGACACAGATACAGATATATACACACACAATAAGAGATATATATCTTGTTCTATCACAATAGCACATACCCCCTTTCCTCTTGCTGGTGTTGCCCTCACAGATCTCTTGTATATCTAACCTCCTCTTTGTGTTCACTTCTCAGTGGATCCAAACTAACCCAGGCTTGCTAAAAGGAGACACAAGCCAAAACACACCTTTCATGCTTGAAACAATCTCATAAGATGAAAAGAGAATGCCCTAGGGGTTGCCCCTGCTTGGAATCCAGCCTGCACACCCCTCCTGTGGCATCTAAGAAGGCAACACATCTGACTAGGCGCGGTGGCTCACGCCTGTAATCCCAGCACTTCGGGAGGCCGAGGCGGGCGGATCACGAGGTCAGGAGATCGAGGCCATCTTGGCCAACATGGTGAAACCCCGTCTCTACTAAAAATACAAAAATTATCTGGGTGTGGTGGCACATGTCTGTAATCCCAGCTACTCAGGAGGCTGAGGTAGGATAATCACTTAAACCCGGGAGGCGGAGGTTGCTGTGAGCCGAGATCGCGCCACTGCACTCCAGCCTGGCGACAGAGCGAGACTGTTTCTAAAAACGAAAAGAAGGCAACACATCTTACTCCTTCAGAATCGCCAGAGGCATAAAGCATGTTTCTTCCTATCATCTGTCCCACTCAAAAAAGAAGTTCAGGGGACACACACCAGGGCCCCAGATTCTCAGGCTTAATGCTAAACCTTATCTTTCTACAATTCAAATGGGATGTAAAATTGTGTTTGTGATCTTTATTTTTATTAGAACAAGAAGGTAATTCTTTTTCTTTATAGAATAATTTTCAATTGAGAAGGAAACAGAGGCAGTTGTCAAATCTATGTTGTCCCAGGGTATTCAAAAATGGCTTCCACAATCACGCGGCAGTGCTTAGCCCAGTTAGAGCTTCTCAGATAACACACCAATTCTGCATAAAGCAGCTCATTTATCAGACACAGATTTCCCGCTTGTAAATGCTTCCCATGAGAGTTAGGTCATGGACTATAAGGTTTGGGTATTTTTCTTTCTTTCTTTCTTTTTTTTGGCAAATTGCTAAATTAATCAGTAATTCTTACTGTCTGTCGTCAAAGGCTACTATAGAACAGGAGGAAGGAAGGAAAGGGAAGCTTCTCCTGTGAGCCTGTCACAAGCCAGCAACTCTGCTTGGGATTGTAAATGATTGAGGACATAATCTCACATCTGAGTTGCTTAAAGTGGGAAGGATAAGGCACTTATATCGAGAATTGAATCATAATTGTATAAATAAGTGAATTATAGATCCACAGATAAAATGCCTGTAGGCGTACAGAAGAGAAATACAACTCCTTCAGCTGAGGAAACCAGGGGAGATTTCTGAAGGAGATACTATTTAATTCAGGCATTAAGATGAATAGAATTTAGATATTTTGAGATGGGGGTAAGGATGAGAAACAGAAAGAGGAAACACACAGAGGCCATTTATACAGCACCCTTGACATTAGTGGCTCCATCTTAGAAAAAGACTCTATCTTACATTTCATAAGGCACGTTGCCAGCAGGGATCAGATATTTTGCCTGATCAATAAAGATGCATCCAGCCAGATAAAGACATGACCAAGCACATTCTTCCACTATCAGTCCTAACCAGGGGACTCTTGCCCATAAAAAGAGCAAGACTTCAGCAGCTCGAAACGGCCTCTTAACAGACACTATCTTACTGTCCCTTGTGATAAGCACCCAGAATCTACCACCGAAGGCTCTGCCCACATCACTGACCCTTCCATGCACGACTCATGGTCTGCCCAGGCCAGACCAGGATATTCTTTTTGTCTACATCTCTCTCCCTGGACTGGTTCCTTAACCCTTTTTCTTTCCCCTTGATGTTAAATGTCACTTTGTTTGTTGTGGAATATTTAATCTATAGCATTTATCTATTGATTACATATACTAGTATATATGGTTTGCAATCTTGATTGATGTGTGGAGTGGCTTGAGCCTGTGTGCCCGCGGCTCTGACTACAAGTGAATGGGAAGCACCACCGAGAATTGTCTCCCTGGGAATTCCATGCAGCCCGTGATTGAAGTAACGTCAGTAAAAGCCTGACATTGTGGGAAGACACAAACCTGGGCCTCTTGTTATCTCTGACATTGCACTGCTCACAATAGGCAGAAAATGAACCACTGTATTCAAGGAACGGCAAGGTCCCTATTAGATCATATTCATCATGTTTCTCAACAGAGATGATTGAGGCATTTGGAATGGGACAGGCATTTTTCTGTTTAGCACTGTGCCATAGACTGCACAATGTTTAGCATGTCTATCCCCTGAACGGATAATATCAGTGGTATCCAAGAGTAATTTAGCAAATATGTGAAGTTGAAAACCACTAGAATCTAACTCAAATTGGAGCGTGGTGGGGGTTACTGAAACAGATTCCTGGCCCCACCCTCCAGTTTCTGATTTAGCAGGTCTGTGATGGGGCCTGATCATTTACATTTCTAACAAGTTCTCAGATGAGGAGGATGCCGCTGTCCTGGGAACGGTCTTGGGGCACCATTGTTTATGGAGTATAACATAGAGAAATGGAAAGTCATATTGGAATAATGAGATTGTGGAGGACCATGAATAGCAATGTAGTTATACGGATAAAGAGTCTCTGAAGTCAAATGCCTAACTACATTTCTACATTCCATTCAAGACTTAGAGAGAAACATAAAAGAGAAACATGGATGGCTTTAGAAATCTCTTAGGAGAGAAACAAAACTCTGGCTCTCTCTCTCTTTATTTACCACCCCCACCCCCATAGCTGTGGAACAGCACTACTAGCAGAGTAATAACAAGGAGCACATGTTCACCTTCTTGATGGAAAAAAAAAGAAAGATGAGGAAGATGAGAAAAACAAGACCAATGGGACGGGTATTTATTCTGGACCATAAGCTCCACGAATCAAGAACCTCACCTGCCTTGGCTCAGTACAACCTCCCACACAGAACACAATTCTGGGCACATATATGCCACAGAAAACATATTTGGCAAACAAATGAATGAATGAGAGCTGAAACAACATTGGAAATGAATAGTAGGCAATGGAGAAGGATGATGTAAAAGTTACAAGCATCACTTTAGGCACCGAGTCACATGCAGGGTGAAGAGCAAAGCCTTTTACTGAAACTCCTTAGTGGAGTCTGGAAGGGAGACGTGAAAGACCCATGGTCAGTTTATACAGAGAATATCAAATATAACTATTAGATTTCAGACTGAAGTTTCTAGAAAAAAATAGCCATATTATTGACACACACACACATGTGGGAAAGAGAAGCATATTTTTGTGAGGAAGCAAGAGTGGGTGTGTGGAAAAACACATTCACGTTAGACATAAATGGTTTTACATGCTTGCATGGTTTTTGATTAAAAATGCAAGAGGAAATTTTAGAGCAGTGACCAGACTTTGGAAAAATAAAATTTGGATATGATCCCATGAAAGAGACCAAGACCATGAGAAGGACATTTGACATGTTTGACTCAAAAATCATATTGGCAAGAATTTGTTAATGGCCATTGAGATTTTAATAAAGTCACTATATATGTATAAGAAGTCACTACACAAATGCAAAATATAAGCTACAACACCATTGTTCATGCATGAAATCTGGGACCCTAATAAAGCCCTGAACCTCTCCCATACACTCCCTCATCTCCCCATCTGTAGGCTGGATCCACTGGGGGTCCACAATGGTGAGAGGAGATATGCAATGAAGAAATTTGGGTTCTTACCAACCTTATGCCTCCTTGTCCTATGGCATAGTAGTAAGACCAATTTCTCCATGTGTATAATAACTAGAAACATAAGCTATGGATTAAAAAGTGCCTCAAGGTGTTTTAAAAAGTGGCATTCTTGATTGTGCTCATAGAGCTAATTTTGCTTCTCTCTCTATGTGGATGATTTTTAAAACATGCCAAACTCTATGCAAAGCCTGCATTATAGAGTTTTGGAGAGGTTAATCCAGACACCATGTATTAACCTTGGATATGTGGGCAAATAATAGACTAGACAGCTGGCAATCTGACATTCAATAAGATGAATGGAAAAAACTCATTTATTTTGCATTGTAGAAACAGTTGCTAGCTATCTAGAAATTGACATCTTATGTTAATTTGCAAAACAAATATGCAAAAAATAACATGGACAGTAATTGAAACATCTGTAATATGTGAGAAACTACACTCTGCCAGGCACTGGGATCCAGCCACTTGGATGAGAGCCAGAGCCTGCTCTCATGGAGCCCGCTGTGAGTTCTGGATCCAATGAAGCAAATATTCAATGCCCTGATACACTCTGTGACATCTGCTGGGATTGGAGCAGCTCCAGGCACTGTGGGACCAAACTGGGAGGCAGCAAAGCCTTCTCTGAAGAAGTGCTCTAGGTTCAGAGCTCAGACAGAAACTGGGATCTAAGTGATGAATGGGGATGATCTACACAGAAAGAGCTGCAAGTATTGGGACTAGAACATACAAAGTTCTAGATAGGGGATGGCAGAAGAGGCTTGAGGAGCTGAATGAGCCTAGGTACAGTGGGAAGTGCTGGTGTGAGAGGTGGGCTGGGTGTGAAATGGGAAGGGTGAAGTCTGGTTATGTCAACAATCATTCTGGAAAGATTAAAGATCAACAAGGACTACTCTCTTGAAAAGAAGTTTGGAAACTAAGCATTATTACAAGATTTTTTATTTATTTTTATTTATTATTATTATTATTATTATTTTTTTTTTTGCAGAACCAAGAACAGTACATTTAGGATTATCTTCATTAGAGAGAGAAGAATGGATCTAAGGGAGGACAAGACTGAAGATAATGTGATCAGTTTAGGGGCAGTTGCAATAAACCAGATGCAAAATTATGATGGCCACAACCAGGTCATGACAGTGGGGACTGAGGGTCCCCGTATAATAAAGATGCTTAGGAAGAGGCTCCCTTTACTTATTTGCTCACTGAGCAAATATTATTGATCACCTACTTTGTGCAAGTCGTTGTTCTAGAAGCCAGGGAACAGTATAAACTAAGCAAAGAAAGCTCTTACTCATGTAAACCTACAGTCTCCTGGGAGAGGATAGACAATAAAAAATCAAGGAAATAAAGAATTTGCTTCAAGGTTATAAGTGCAATGAAAAAGAAGGAAGCGGGTGAGTGGAGACAGTGAGAGGGTTGGGTTGATGTAGGTCAGTAGTACAAGCCTCACTGATTAGGCAACATTTGAGTGGAGAGCTGACAGATGCAAATGGTGATCCATGCAGAATCTGGGTCAGCAAGTACAAAGACCCCAAGGCAGGAGCAGGCTAGAGGTATTTAAAGAAAATATTCTTATGTTGAAGCCCAATTCCCAATGTGATGGTACTAGGAGGTGGGGTCTCTGGGAGGTGATTACCTGGGGTTTTCTGTGGGTAGATTGCTCATCAATGGGATTCATGCTTTTATAAAAGAGACCACAGAATGCTCCTTGCCCTTTCCACCCTGTGAGTACCTAGTAAGAAGCTGCCATTGATGAACTGGAAAGCAGACCCTCACCAGACATCAAACTTGCCAGACCCCCGACCTTGGACTTCCCAGCCTGCAGCCCTTTGAGAGCATGAATTGCTATTGTTTAAGCCACTGGGCCTGTGGTATTTTGTTACGTCAGCCCTAGCAAACCAATACAGGTACCATCTCTAGAATTTGCAGAGGGGAAGAGTAACCTGCATGGGAGACTGAGAAGGAAGGATCAGTGAAGCAGATGAAAAACCAAGGAGAGAAAGTCAACTGAAGAAAACAGAGTGAAAGAAGTCAGTGGAAAAGGAAGAAATAATGGAGTCAATGATGCTTGTAGATGAATATGACAAGGTCTAAAAATGTACCCTCTGAGCCTGGCAACAAAGAGATCATTGCTACAGGCAGGTTTGGTGGAATCACTGGGAAAAAGCCTGGTAGGGGTGTTTTCAAGAGACAATGGAAGAGAGAAGTTCGAACTCATGAGTACAGACACCTTCCGAGACGTGTTGGTTATGAGGGAAACTGAAATGAAGGGGAGGTGGTTTGGTTTTCTTTTCTTTCTACTTTGGGAAACATTAAAATTCTTTTCCCCTTCTGTGAATATGATTCTGTTCTGTGGATCATGAAAGGCTGAAAGAGTAATGATCTTGAGAAGGTCAGAGGCACTGGCTCCAGTGGGGCAGTTTTAACACTGTTTGCAAATGCTGCTTTATGAAGCAGTGTTTATGCATGTCCAGTTTTAGAAATTCTCTGTGTATTGAAAAGGCTCAGAGAAAAACCCAGAAAATATATTCTGTTCTGTCCATTCTTGCACTCAGTAAGTGATTTCTCTGATCTTATAAATGGCACGTCTACATCTTCCCTGTAGAACATTTTACTTCTGTGTGTACTATGGTGGCACTGTCAGAGGCAGTGATCATCTACAGATTGTTTTCCAGCTGCACTTGTACACTAAGCAGCAGTCTGGGCTGCTGACAGATTGTGCCTTTTTCCTATGAAAATCACCAGCCAGTTCTTCTTCTTTCTCATAGACTGTTGTGAGCACAATAAATCAGAAAACTCTAGGTTTATACCAGCTATGGCAATACTGTCTAAAACTCGATGGATCGGAGACCTGAGCTGTAGCATTCATTCAGCTAACTAAAATGTTTGCTTTTTTTCAGTTTCAATTTAATCAAAACTTGATGGTGAAGAGACAGAAATGACAGATTTCATGTTTTGCCATTAATCCTTATTAGACATCTGGCTTATGAGAAGGGAGCAGCTCTAAGAAATAACATTGTATGGCGCGAGAAATTGACACAGAGGAAGTGACACTACAAAATCAGGAGACAATTTTTTAATTATAAAGAGCAGAACCCATTATTCATTCCTTCCTTCCCCCTTCCCTAAAATATACAAAAATACTGGGTTAAAATAAATATATATGTGCATGTATAAATACACACAGGTATATGTAAGTATATATACATATATATCATATATACATAGGTACATATATGTACATGTGTATCTGTACCTATATATACACACATATACCTGAATATATATGTATACACTGTATATATACCTGTATATATATATGCATATATATATATATATGCATATATATATATATATATACACACACACACACACACACACATGCATGTGCACCTTATGGGTTCTAGTTCTCTGGAGAACTCTGACTCATACACAGTCTCTGTGCTAGGAATAGAGATAGAAATATCATGAAGTTCATTAGGGCAGGAAAGAAAAATTCTTTCTCACTGTTCCTTTGCTCAAGCTTTTCTTGCTTCCCTGAATCCCCTCCTCCTTCTGCACATCCCCAGCACTTAGAACAGTACATGGAAGATGACAAGGATTCAATAAACATTTGCTACATGAATGAATGAATGAATAATTAAGGAATCCTGATCCTCTTCTTTGCATAACACACATTTTAGTGAAAGATATGGGCTCGCAAACAGAGATTACACTTCAAGGAATTCGTGTTGGCAATGCTGCAGGGGAAGGGCTTCGTGTGTTTCACCTGAGGATGTCGGGGAGGGCTCCGCAGGGGAGAGGAGAGGTACATCTGCAAGGAATGGAGGAAGGGTGTTCCTGGCGGGTTGGGGAATCCCTGGAGCAAAGACACAGTAGACACAGCAGAAAGCAAGTACATTTCCCATTCTGGGAACTGCTGACCCTGGGACTACCAGAGTAACAAACCACGCCTCTCCTCTGGCTTCTGGGGCTGCTGAGGTTTGTCCCGTAACTTGCAGCAGTGTCACTCACTCCACATGGGCTTTGGTCCATATTCTCATGCTGCCCTCCCTCTGTGTGTGCCCACACTCTCCCCTTCTTTTCAATGGACGCAAGTCCTTGGATGGGGACCCACCCTGATCCTGATGACTTATCTGAACTTGATTACATCTGCAAACACTCCATTTCCAAGTCACATCATAGAAGTTCTCAGTAGACATAAATTTTTAACCCAGTACAGTACCTCATAGGATTCTTTTCAGATTAAATGAGACAATATGTATAAAGTGTTTAGAGAGATGGCTGGCACACACACACACACACACACACACACACACACACGCGTACATATAATCACACATTAGCAGAAAACAATGAATAAAAATATTGCTCAGCGCTCCTTAATAATGTAAATTTTTCCCTTTTAATACATTTCCAAAGGTGCTATCAAATTCCTGTTTCTCATTATCTTGTTTACATCAGTGCCCTTAGCTTATGTGTCTATCTTCAGCCTTTTTCCATTTTATCATAATTTAAAATATGATTGCCTAAAACGTTCCTAAAGCTATGCTGTTATTCCTATAATTTACACTCACGGTGACGATCACTGATTATATAACAATGTCATTATTTAGCAACTTTACGACTCTGATAATATCTCTTAATTCAAATCATAATAGTAGCTAACATTTATTATGCATGTGGCAATACATGGCAGATTTCCTTTGCAGGTATTTGCATGTATTATCTAACCAACTAACCTTCACGAGCACTTACCTCGTAACCTTATCTGCAGAAATATGAGGTGCAGAAAGTGCCCTGGCCGGGGACAGACAGCTCTTAAGTATCAGAGTACAGATCAACCCCCAGACTGAACTCCAGAGTTAGATCCTTGATGCTAAACCTAAGTAATGCTGCTTCTATCATGATGTTCTCATATCAGAAATCTGCTTTCTTCCGGCTCCATCGCTGCTCTCACGCTATTGATTACAGCCAAAAAGTCCCTTTCTCTCTTCCTACCAAACTCATAAAATGTTGAAGAGAGCACGGTTTCAGATTCGTGTCATCCTACCTCACCCCAGTGAATGCCCACAGCAACTCCCTTTTAATGAATGGTGCATCTTTCCATCTAGGTATATTTTTTTCCTCTTTTTTCAATTATTCTCACAACACCTATGAAAGTTGTGACTATATAGCAGACAATTAAAATAATATTTCTTAGAAATATGAATTTGTGTTCATGAAATATTAAGCCATACATTCACTTCATACAGGATCCTTCAGAATTTAAATGCAATTAATTTGCAAGCTTTTGTAATTTTATATCTGATTTGGAAATGGGCATCTTTAATTACCTAGCAGCTGTTCCCTATTAATTGAAGGCATCATAATGCACTGAATGTATCTATGTGAAATTCTAACCTGCCCCGGAGGGCTAGAGTCAGCATGTGCCTGCGCTCTACATATTTAACCATACAAATCTCTGATGTAGGTATGTATGTGGAGTTGGAAAACTCACCCTTTTTGTCTAAAATCCAGAAGTCATTCTTTTGTACCTTGTAGCTGCCCCAGCAAACATCTTATCTGAGCTACTTCTTCCTGCATCCTTCCCCTCCTGTGCTAAGTTAAGAGGAAAGGATGAATCCACAGCTTCACATTCAGAGGGCGGTATGTTCCCATCCTATTGAGCAGTTAATGAAATGGGAGTGACGCTGATGAAGCTGCCACTTCCCTCTCTCTGCTAGGCTTGGTGCCACTCTGGAACAGGGAAGATGCAGACAGCACCATGTTGTCAATGTGTTTTTGCTGGGAATGTTGCCTCCCCATTTCTTCCTTAGGACAGGCTGATATTTTATATTTGCTCTACAATCCGAAGTATCTAATATAGGAGACATTCGTAGTGGTTAAATCTGACTCTTTTGGGGAGAGTCTACATACATTCCATGTCAAATACACTCCTAATTTTGAGTTGGAGAAATAGTCATCCTTGCAGAGTACTTAACATACATCACATCCAGTAATGTTCATTTAAAAATGCGTATATGGATCCAGGCTTGGTCATGTTCCTAGTAGATTTGACGGATTCTAAAGGTGGCAGGGTTCTGATTTCAATTTCCGAGGTGTCAGCTTAAATCCGCTTATAGAGCATCGCATTTTCAAACTGCCAATTTATGTAGCTGGTTGTGGGAGGTCAGGGAGAGAGGATAAAGCTGCATCCAATAAAACGCCATCACCACCCCTGTGGAAACAGTGCCAGCCCAGATGGGTCACACTCATAAAAACAGCACTCACTAAATGCTAGTTGTGAAAATTATAACAGGCTCCTTCTATCTTTATACCCTAGATACTAGGAGATAATTTTTTTTTAAATAAGCTTACTTGATAACCAACTACTGTGGAATTTTAACTTCTGAGACAATCTAGTAAATACAAGGAAACAGCTGGACTAAATAATCACAATTAAATGGGCAGTCTTATTTCACTTTTTTATGTGTAAAACACTTAAGGCATATATGAAATTTGTTCTTTGACCTCAGCCTACACTTTTGGGAATGGGGTACATAGGGGAGAGAAAGCTTGGTCCTAATGATTTACCTATGAACTTCTAAATGAAGAGATGTCCAGCCTATCAATGAATACATCATTCAATGTATATTGATCATCGACATATTTTAGGCATCTATTTAGAGGGCTCTGAATGACACGCAGACAGTTGATATGTCCTGTAGATTATTCAGAAGAGGTAAAGCCATCAATACTTTACAAAATTGCACCAAAAATCAAAGTGACTTCAAGGTTTCTGTCCTGGAAGACCAGGGGAGTGATGGCACATCAATGGAGAATCACAGAGGAAGTTTTGGTTTGGGAAGAAGATGAGGGTGGTTATATTCAGCTTTGAACACGACAATTAATAAAGGCAACATCATCAGAAAAGTTAAGACTGGAACTCAGGAAAAAAGTCTCGATACAGATTTAAGATAATTAGAGTGGGTGAGGTCGATGCAGTGGGGGAAAATGAGATCTTCCAGGGAAGATAGGTAGAAACAGAGTTAGAATCAGAGTCTGAGATCAATAGAAGAGGTAACCAACTAAGGAAGCTGGTACAAGGATCTGAGGAGTAGGAGAAGAAAACAGAGGTATCCCAGTGTTACATTTTGATATTTTTCAATTTTCCTAATAGATTACTTAGAATTTTGTGATAAAATGGAGATATAAATAAAGTATGATATTATAGTTCTGTAAATATGCTTACAAGTTCTTTGTGTGACTGGACTGAAACAGGCCCTTAGTAAACATTTGGCATATTAAGTAGTAAATAAATAACATTGCTTTTGAAAAAAAAAAAAAAGGAAGAAGAACGGGGAGGGATTGATCAGGGAAAGAAGATGAAAAACCCCAAAGCATAAAGAATACTTCTCCTGGCCTTTGGACATTCCCTTGACAGCAGGCAGAGAGCTCCACTAGAAAGCAGGAATAAAGAATTTCAAATGGCAAGGAAGGTAAATCAACCTGTGAAGATAAGTTTCTCTAACTATACCACATAAATCACTTTTGCAGTATGACGTTGTCTATAAAAACATGGTCTCTCAACTCAGGAAGCCCTGAGGTAGCAGTTTCTTCTTCAAAGGCTGCATTGCTTCACCCACCAAGTGGGGTGCATGACCTACCTACTTTCAATAACATATGTACCTACTACATATGTTATTGAAAGGAGTAAGTCAAGGCATGTAGAGCTCAGAGAGTGCAGAACATACCTGCAAGGCACCAGATAATAACATCAGCAGTTACTTTTAATGGAAACACATTGTGGACTAATTAGTACGAAGCAATATTTGGGAGTGGCAATTCCAATAGGGGAATTCACATTCCTTCTTAAATTTTCCCTATGTACTTCCTCTCTGATTTTTAAGTCACCCACTCACTCTATTTCTCTATCTCTCTCTCCCTCAGACTTCCCTTTTCTTTCATGTGGCGTAACTCAAATAGAGTTGAATTTACAGCCTTAAAAGAAAATTTAGGACAGTTTTCCTTTTAGAGGGAAAAAGAGTTGTTGAACACATTTTAGATTGATGCAGCATATTAAAATGACAAATTACACACTGAAATATCACCAACTCCCAGAACAATAAAAACATCAAAGACACTAAATTTACACTGACAAAAAAATACATTTATAAAGCAAAAAAAATCCTGAATTACTTTTAAATGACATACTATAAACCTTAACATGAAAAAAACCACAGACATATTGTCCTTTGAAAAAGTATATTTGATTCTTTATACTCAGCCAGCCAATAAAAGTACTTGGAAATAAGAGATAAAATTTCATACAAATATACAATCTGCAAGTTTAAACAATAATTTAAATGGAAACTTTTTTCTTATGGCAATTTTTTTTTACTTTCTCAATTGCATAAACAAGTGCATTTGACTATTTCAATAGCTTAAAGATAAATAAAAATATCACCACTATGAAGTGAAAACTTTTTCTTATGTGCATTTTTGGGAGAAGTAATACATATGCTAGAGACGTTATACTGTTTCTAAAGAGATTACTTTCATTTGCAATCCAAATTTCTTAAATTGTAAGAAATTCATATTTTTCCCCTAGCACAGTGAGGTATATGAGTACTCACGAGGGTATTTCCAAGGTAGATGAGAAACTCAAGGGAAGTAATATATGTATATCCATTATTTTATACTTGGGTCAGCTCCAAGTACCAAATAAATATGCCCTATTACAGATTAAATGTTCCTTTCCCTCAAAAATCATATGTAGAAGCCCTAACCCTCATGTGATGGTATTAGGAGTTGTAGCCTTTGGGAGGGAATTAGGTTCGATGAGTTTATGAGATGAAGTCCCATGATAAGATTAGTGCTCTTAAAAGAAGAGAAATCAGAGCTTCCTCTTCACCATGTGAGGACACAGCAAGAAGGTGGCTGTCAGCAAGCCAGGTACCTTGATCTTGGACTTCCCTGTCTTCAGAACTGTGAGAAATAAATGTCTGCTGTGTAAGCCGTTTAGTCTGTGATATTTTGATATAGCAGACTGAGCTGAACAGACACCCTCTAGAGCCAAATATTTTAATTTTTACATTGCAATAATGCATTTGAAATTATAATAATTGTTACAAATTCAGACTCTTTCATTGAGTTCTAGGAGTCAACTATTTCTTCATCATTTGATGCTGAAGATGACCTTCACTATAGTCCATCACTTCTGCTTCCATTAGTAATGGAAACTATTCACTAAAAGAGATGAAATTATATAGGTTGCCTTGCTGAGGATATTTCCCTCCGATATCTTCAGAAATTTTTGTGTTATTTCTCTCACAAGGCATTAACAATATAGCATATAGGAAGGGTGTATACAGTTTGCTGTGTACACAGAGAAAGCATGCAAAACACATTGTGTGTGTGCACATGTGTATGTTTGTGTGTGGGTGATTGTTTTTGTCTGCTTCCTGTTGTTCCTATCACTTTGAGCACCTTAACATAATCATTACACCATGCAAAATGTGAGACTTTTCTATCCAGTCCTTTCTCTTCTTTGCCATTCAAAAAAGAAACACACAAAAGAGCAATTTCTTAAATAAAATAAAACACAACTAAAAGTTAATCATGTATTAATTCAAATAAAAATTTACTCTCTGCTTCTTTTGAATTGAAAAATCAGATCTGACTGCTTGCTTAGATTTTAGTGTCTTTATACCAATATTCATAATATAAACAAACTGCTATACATAATACACTTATCCATTTATTACACTTAAAAATACATGTTAAGAAAGCCTTGCCAGGCGTCTGTGGTTATCAACAGATTTTAATTATGTAACAAATATTGACTGCCTATTGATAAGATTATATTATATTCCACCAAAATGGCATCCATATATACATGTGAAATAATTTCTGGGAAGACAAATTAAGGACAGATGTATTCTAAAAACTATAGAAAGTTTCAGGATGGGAAACTCTTCATGTCCTAAGAATAAGGACAAAGGAGCAGTGAGTCCATGCCGAACCATTACTGAAATTCTTGAATCACATTTGATCCTTCTTTGTAGTTCTTATTTTTTATATCTTTTTTTCTATAGGTCCCATTTAAAAATATACAGTATTTGCCTTGGTCCATTTGTTCTCCCATACTTGCATGTTCCCTTCTTTGCTTTACTTTCAGTTCATTTTCCACACCCTCACTGTTAGCCAAGGGCCATGGTTCTTTCATTGATTAGTATCAAAACCAGGAGGAGAATAACCACAGGTTCATACCACATCTGCCATTCTCTAGATCAGAAGTTCTCAGTTCTCTCTGTACTCCATAGTCTCCTAGGCACCATTAAAAACCATCCTGGCCCCATATAAGACTCATTACATCAGCATCTTTATGGGCAGTTCTTAGACATGGAAATTAAAAAATAAAATCTTCCCAGGTGATTCTGTTATACAGCCAGGATTGAGAATGACTGCTAGAGGTGATCCCAGCTGAAGCCAAGCCCATCCAGTGGGCAGCTGAACTCATCACAGTATGCATGTGCACAGGCTTGCTCCATCAATTGCCTTCTCTTACTCTAGTGTCACCAGATTTTCCCTCTCACATGAATTATTTTTATTTTATTTTTAATTTTACTTCAAGTTCTGGGATACATGTGCAGAAAGTGCACGTTTGTTACATAGGTATACATATGCCATGGTGGTTTGCTGCACCTATCAACCCATCATCTAGGTTTTAAGCCCCATGTACATTAGGTGTTTGTCCTAATGCTCTCCCTCCCGTTACCACCCATCCCCCGACAGGCCCCAGTGTGTGATGTTCCCCTCCCTGTGTCCGTGTGTTCTCATTGTTCAACTCCCACTTATGAGTGACAACATGTGGTGTTTGGTTTTCTGTTCCTGTGTTAGTTTGCTGAGAATGATGGTTTCCAGCTTTATCCATGTCCCTGCAAAGGACATGAACTCATTCTATTTTCTGGCTGCATAGTATTCCATGGTGTATATGTACCACATTTAATATCCAGAATCTACAAGGAACTTAAACAAATTTACAATAAAAAAACAACCCCATCAACAAATGGGTGAGGGATATGAACAGACACTTCTCAATAGAAGACATTTATGTGGCCTACAAAGCTCATCATCACTGGTCATTAGAGAAATGCAAATGAATTATTTTTATCAGCACATACACTTGCTGTTAATTCTCCCATCATTAAAAAAAGCTCTTAACGTCTGTTCCCTCTTCAGTAATCTTTCCATTTCTCTCCTCTTTACAGAAACCTCCTTTAAAGAGCTCTTTATACTTTCTGTGTCCATTCCTGTTTTCCTACTCTGTACAGAACCTAATCCATTAAAATTCTTGCTCCC
This sequence comes from Homo sapiens, assembly GCF_000001405.40. Classification (NCBI taxonomy): domain Eukaryota; kingdom Metazoa; phylum Chordata; class Mammalia; order Primates; family Hominidae; genus Homo; species Homo sapiens. The sequence goes on along the minus strand of NW_013171811.1, from coordinate 65,216 downwards.
AACAAGTCAAGAAAACTAATCACCTCCATACTCCTAAATGCAATGGTCAGTTCTCAGGCTTCCTCCTGCTTGATCAATAAAAATTTCTCCTCCTTGAAAACTCATCTTGGCTCCCAAGAAAGCACCCTCCCTCATTTTCATCCTTTCTTCCTGGTCATTCCTTGTGATTGGACCTCATTTCACTGAATTATTAATATTGGAATTCCTTGGGACTCAGTTCTTAGACTTCGTATCGTTTTACCTAAACTCTTTCTCTACGTCACTTCAACCACTTTTGGGGTTTTCGGTATCATCTATATGCTCATGAGTTTTCAATTTACGTCTCCAGCCAGGATGCCACCCCATCTCATTCACAACTCCTAGAGGCACTCCTACTGTGGCTAATGGCATTTCATTCTTCTAGTTGTCAAGGCCCCAAAAGCTTGATGTTATCCTGGAATTCTCACTCCCTGTAGTAGGGAGCATTTTGGCTGTCCCGATTTCACCCTCTGGAGTTACATCTGCGGCTATGCAAGATGATCTGGAGAAAGGGATGCATGGTTACTAGTGAGCTGCCTCTGGAACAGGAGATGAACCTGCATAGCCCAGGAGAGCCCAGTGTCATCACATAGGCCCCTAAAGGTGCAAGAGGGAGGCAGAAGATTCAGTCAGATACAAGGATGGACAAAGAAACAGGCAAACTGAAGCGTGAGAAGGAGCACTGTCCCTGCCCCGTATCCATCACTGTTGATGTTGGAGACGGAGGAGGGGGCTCTGATCCAAGGAAGGCAGGTGGCCTCCGGAAGCTGGAATTGTTGAACCAGTGCTGATGACACCTTGTTTTCATCTCACCGAAGCCCATACCTCACCTCAGACCTACAGAACTGTAAGGTAATACTTACGCTGTTTGTCACTATTAAATTCGTGATAATTTGTTTTGGTAGCAATAGAAAATCAATACACTCCCTATAGCCAGGTAATCAGCATTTCCTGTCAGCTCTATCCTAAAAATAAATCCTAAAATTGACTATTTCTCACCACACCCTAGCTCCGCTTGGGTCCAAGCCACCATCATCTCTTGCCTAGCTTGCCACCAGAAACTAGGTTGCATAGTTTCACACCTACAACATCTGCTTAGAAAGCATTAATTCAGATTGTATGACATGAATGTTTGGGGAAACGTAACTTATATAATAACTGCTTCTTGGCTTTTTAGTTAGTAATTTACTACTATGAGTTTTCTTTTAACCCTAACCTAAACACAATGGTGCACTGTAGATATTTGGTACAAGAAATTTTAAAACATTTCCAATACATTAAAAGAAGTGTTTTTGAGACAGGGTCTTGCTCTGTTGCACAGATTGGAGTGCAGGTCACCATCATGGCTCATTATATCCTTAATCCCCAGGCTCAAACAATCCTCTCACCTCAACTCCTTGAGTAGCTGGGCATGCACCACCAGGTCCAGCTAATTTTAAAAAATATTTTGTAGAGATGGGGTCTTGCTATGTTGCCCAGGCTTGTCTCAAACTCCTGGCCTCAGGAGAGTCTTCCACCTATGCCTCCCAAAGTGTTGGGATTATAGGTATGAGCCACCATACCTGGCACCAATTATTTTTTGTGTTTTGTTACTTTTAAATCAAAATAGGGCTTAAATTTTAAGATCTGCTTTCTTATTTAAGTTTGTTGTAACAACTACTGTGTGTTGAACAAGAACCAATCACTTTACTCTCTTTTGCTCAATGCTGCTGGAAGGTATGAGATGGGCAGGAGGGAGCAATGACCCTAATGGGCATTCTCCCTACCTTCGATGTGCTCACAGACTCACAGAGGAGATGGCCATTCAATGAACAGCCATAGGTGAGAAGAGAATAATAAAATGAAAGATCAGAGTGCTCCAGACAGCTTTCCAGAAAATATGATACAATGGCTGAATTTCAGTTCCTTCATGGGTAAAGTAAGTGGATCACACCAAATGTTTTTAGGTACTTTCCAGCTCAAAGATTCACTGTTACTGTCATTGCAGTTTAAGACAAAAAAAAAAAAAAAACAAAACAGAAATTCTCAGAATATTACAGTTTAACTAGAAAAAGCCCATACAAAACCATGAAAAAAATGACTTGAGTCTTCTTACCATGTATAACTATTATTGTATATAATGTGCTATAGGTTTTCTTAGCTATAGATCCACAATCCCCATTTGAAAGCCTTCAAAGCACATATGTTATTGAATTTATTATTTTTCCAAACTGAACAGGTTATAAACCATAAGTAGGTCAGTGAAAGTTTTGCCACTAAATGAGCTATCAAAATAACGGCTTCGGAGCTTTTTGGATTCCAAATTGTGAGTAATGAATTGTGAAGATGCTCATTTTAGATTCATCCAAATACTGATTTGAGAGCCAGTCAAGGTAAATTGATTTATATCTGTTTCTTTGAAGCCTTGTACAATTACAACAATTACATCCAGAGCTGGAACATTTATCTCACATTTGAACTTGGGAAAGTGGGTTCTATATAGGAAAACAGAAAAATTCACATACAAGAGTATATAAAAAGTGAAAAAATTTAACAGTCTTGTGAAGACAATTGAGATTTGCATTGGGTAATCTTAGAAAAACATGATACCACAAGCCAAACAACTTTAAGGGAGAAAAGAAATTGACTCCTGAGAGTCGGGGAAAGTGACATTACTGCTGCATCTATCAAAGCATGAGCTAAGGATGAACAAATTCCATAGCCCCAAATCATCATCAGGAAAAACAATTCTCTGTAATTCCTGCACTCTGGGAGGCTGAGACTGGAGGACTGCTCGAGCTCTGGAGTTCGAGACCAGCCTGGTCAACATAGTGGGACCCTGTCTCTATAAAAATTTTCTAAATAGAAAAAAAAATTCATTGATAAAAAGTTTCCCTAACAATTAGAATTAAACAATTGGAAAGGAACTCACTTGCTTTACTGATAGCTAATTCTTTAAAAAAAAAAATACAATCTCACCACAATTTTTACATTTTTTTATCTTACTAGGTGGTAGGACTTTTAATGATGTTCTTTGCAAAGAGCATTTTTTTCTTGAATAATACAAACAGTTAAAAGATAGTAGCCTCCAATATTTAAAAGGACTTTTCTGCCCCATCTCTCCATCAAAAAAACAACAAACCAACAAAAATCAATCATGAAAAATCACATCAGAAAACGGGTCCTTCTTTCTTATCATGTACCTTCTTTGTCATTGTGGTGGATAATCGCGTCCTGTAGCATGTCCGTGAGGTTGAAGTGAACTTTCGGATTCTTCGCATGCTTCAGCCTTTTCAGGAACCCTTCCTGCTTCTGAAAAGCCTTCTCGCGCTCATAGTAGGCTTTGATTTGCTCACAGCGCATGCGCTTCACTAGACGCTGCCGTTGGCCAAGGGGAAGGGACTCTAGCAAGCACTGGTCGATTTCCATCTCATGGGATCGAAAAACGTTACATAGCTGAAAGCAACCTGGAAGAAATGCAAGGGGAGCGTCACCAGACCTATTATTATAACCACTATAAGTGTGCACCACAGCACACTTGATTTTATATTGTCCATTGCACAGGTCATAAATGCAACAATTCTCCTTGCACTTGATATTGCAAATCCAAAGCCCTTTTTATAGATTGGGGAAAAATAGTTCGTGTGTTTCTCAAGATTCTGTGGTAATAAAACAAATGATGGAATTAGACATGCATATGTAGTTAAGCTCAACACAATTACTAACCATCCATCTCTTCCTGTTTCTTTCAATCCATCCCAAAAGCCTCCAGATTTCATCACTGTGTCAAGTTCCTTCTAATTGAGTAATACTAATTTTGCATGTTAAATGTTGGCATAAAATCATTCCAAACTTTTTCAGAACAACCTAATAGATTTGCTTTTGCGTATCATGATGACTAATCATGACGCTGTTAATTTAAGGTAATAGAATATATATGCTGCCAAGTATAATGGCTGAAGCCTGTAATCCCAGTGATTTGAGAGGCTGAGACAGGAGGATCACTTGAAGCCAGGAGTTTAAGACTTGCCTGGGCAACAATAGGAAGACCCCCATCTCTCCAAAAATAAATAAATAAATAAATAATAAATAAACTTTTAAGATAGCTAGGCATGGTGGCATGTGGCTATAGTCCCGACTGCTTGGAGGCTGAGGTGGGGGATCGCATAAGCCCAGGAGTTTAAGGTTGCAGTGAGCTAGGATTGCACCACTGCACTCCAGTCTGGGCAACAGAGTGGGGAAAACAGGAGAATATATGTGCTATCAACTCCTTATATGATACAGTGGACATTTTTCATTAATTTATTGCTAAACTCTTTTTCTCATCATCAGTGACATTCATTTCCAAGAAACCTGTGGTTAAGTATAAAGACTGAGGGTTGGCACAGAGATATTTCTCAAAATTGTGGAGAGAATTTTGGCTGCTACGGTTCTTGTTTTATTTATATAGTGATTAACAAAGTGAATTCCCATTTCTGAAACTTAAAATATCCCCCTTGTTTCAAAAGGCTACTTCCTATAAACACCAGTCAAAGCACCTGTAATGGAATTGTATAAACACTTATATTTACCACTAGGTTAAAATTTTACTATTGGCAGAAAATCAATGTTAAAGCATTAAAAATTCTAGAAGCTGGCTTGCAAACACAGATTCAGATGTGTTTATATATTCTTAAGCTATTTATGATATCAGGTCTCAAGGAGGTTAAAGTAACTATGCATGCACAAAATGTGGTTGATCATATGCCATATCCAAGAAGATTATATACTAAGGGTATAGTTCATCTTTGGAAAGATGCCCTGGTCCTTTGAAGGAACAACAAGTCATGACAACACTATTTCCACTTCTGTTTCTTGTGACACTTTCCAAGTCTTTATTCTCACAGCCGCCAGGTGCACCAGCATAAACATCCCTGTTTAGCATATAAAGAAAACCAAGTTGAGAGAGGTTGTGACTTGTCTAAGGTTAAAGAGGCAATTAGACAAACAGAATAAAAAATGCTCCATAGAGAAGAAACAAACCAAAGCACCATGATTCTCTAATGCCAGGTATTGAATATATAAGTACTTTTACATAGGATGTAGGAAGAAAAAGAAGCCATGTTGGGGGATTTTGTGTTCATTTATTTGCATTTGACAGAAGCTATACGTTTTAGTATCATATGTTTTCATAAGACTCTTCATAAGTATTCATAAAAGTGATGTGAGAAATATCAACTAACTATACATAAAATATTCCCTGTCCAGTAACCTAAACGCAAATAGACAACAGTGGTTCTGAAACGATGACAAATTGCTCTGGAGTACACTTATTTGATAAAAGCTATGATCACTGCCAGAAACAGATTGTATGAGAAAGCTCATTAATAAAGAACCATAACTGTCTTCTGCTTTCACATCTGTGTAGAAAACTGCACAGGGCTTGATTGATTGACTTTGATACTTGTGACACTTTGACTTCTGTGACTTTTCTGGCTTGTCATTAGGTGCCCAGGGGATCAACAGGGCCACAAAAAAAAGCCTAAAGAATTAAAACAAATAACATCACAGAGTGCCATGTGTTGATTAGCCAGCAGTTGATGGCTGAGGATAATTGAATAAACATAGCAGTCCTCTAGTTTGTAACTCTTAAGAAGCGTCTCTTGGTGAAATTTTCAATTAACTTTTAAAAAATCCACAGTGACAGATCATGATTCATTGAGTTTTCCCTCACAGGCTGTCAAGAGGGAATGTAGAGGGTGGCTCTTAAATCAATTTTCTTATTTTCCTTTATGATTTGGAAAACTCAAAGACCATAATTGTTAAATTTTAAGTCCATTCATGTCTCAAATCTTGATTTTTAATGTATTTTTGCTAAATAATTCCCCATGTTTTGATCTAAAACATTAGTTTATAAATTGATTCTTTTGTAATCTGAAAATTTATTGCGCATTTTGACTTTCTTTTAATCTAAGTCCAAGTGGGTCAGCTGTGTCATGTACGTATATGTCTATGAATCGATAAGATATATAATATGACCAGTTGATCTCAAAAAAAAAATAAAGAAAGAATCTATAAGATAACACAGGGATTCAGGGGATCATGGTGGACAGGAGGCAGGACTGGATTGCAGCTGCGGACAGAGCAGCATGTAGAGGCTTGCATTGTGAATTTTAGCTCCAGATTGACTTCAAGAAGAAACCAGCAATCCCGAGAGGACCCACAGATCCTCTGAAAGAAGAGGACTGCTCCTGCAGGACCTGGGAGAAACCTCAAATACTATGAGTGCCCCAACTGCAGAAGAGGGAAAGAGAGACCCTCCTTTCCCAGACACACACCCCCACTGGAGAAGGTGAAGGTCTGTCTGTGGGAGAAGTTTCCAACTTTACCTGGGGCTGAGTCAAGTTAGAGGGCTGAGCAAAATACATGGGTAGAGGAAGCAGCAGAAAGGTCCTGGGAGCTCACTGTGTCCCCAAGCAGCCCATTCCTGCCTGGCACCACAGGGATTCATTGGGAGGGTGGCCAGAGGGAGAAGGAATTCTCTAGCTGAACTTTGTAACATTTTTTAACAGGATGAGAAGCATCCTGGCCAGAACTCGGGGGAGGGTGTGAATCAGGCATGCAGACTTCACAGGCAGGGAAAGAACTAAAGCCCTTTTCTCTTGCAGCTGGAAGTTGGATAGCCTCGGGCAAGTTTTCAAACCCATCTTGCCCTCCACCTGGGAACAGACTCAGGGCTGTTGGTTTGTGGGGCACGGTGGGAGTGAGATCAGCCCTTAGGTTTGCCTGGCCCGTGACTGCCGGCTTTCCCCCAGTTCCCTGACAACCTGCATGACTCAACAGAGGCAGCCATAATCCTCCTAGGTACACAACTCCAGTGACCTGGGAATCTCACCACCATCCCCCAAAGCAGCCACAGCAAGACCCAACCAAGGAGAGTCTAAGCTCAGTCACACCTAGCCTTGTTCCCACTTAATGGTCCTTCCCTATCCACCCTGGTAGTGGCAAACAAAGGGCATTAATCTTGGAAGTTCTAGGGTTCCGTCCACTGCCAGTCCCTCTCCACACTACTACAGCTGATGCTTTCTGGAAAATGCCACCTCCTGGCAGGAGGCCAACCAGCACAAAAATAGAATATTAAACCACCAAAGCCAAGGACACTTATGCAGTCCACTGCAGCCTTCACCACCTCCACCAGAACAGGTACTGTTATCCACGGCTGAGAGACACATAGACAATTTATGTAACAGGACTCTGTGCAGACAACCCCCAGTACCAGCCTGGAGCTGGGTAGACTCACTGGGTGGCTAGACCCAGAAGAGAGACAACAATCACTGCAGTTTGGCTCACAGGAAGTCACATCCATAGGAAAATGGGGAGAGTACTACATCAAAGGAACACCCCATAGGACAGAAGAATCTGAACAACAGCCTTCAGCCCTAGACCTTTCCTCTGACAGAGGAACCCAAATGAGAAGGAACCAGAAAACCAACCCTGGTAATATGACAAAACAAGGCTCTTCAACATCCCAAAAAAATCACGTTAGTTCATCAGCAATGGATCCAAACCAAGATGAAGTCTCTGATTTACCTGAAAAAGAAATCAGAAGGATAGTTATTAAGCTAATCAGGGAGAGACCAGAGAAAGTGAAAGCCCAATGCAAGGAAATCCAAAAACTGATATGAGAAATGAAAGGGGAAATATTCATGAAAATGGATAGCTTAAAGAAAAAACAATCAAACATTTGGGAAACTTTGGACATGCTTTTAGAAATGCAAAATGCTCAGGAAAGTCTCGGCAATAGAAGTGAACAAGTAGAAGAAAGAAATTTAGAGCTTGAAGACAAAGTCTTCAAATTAACCCAATCCAACAAAGACAAAGAAAACAGAATAAGAAAATATGAACAAAGCCTCCAAGAAGTCTGGGATTATGTTAAATGACCAAACCTAAGAATAATCAGTGTACTTGAGGAAGAAGAAAATTCTGAAAAACTGGAAAACATATATGGAGGAATAATTGATGAAAATTTCCCCAGCCTTGAGAGAGACCTAGACATCTAAATAGAAGAAGCACAAAGAGCACCTGGGAAATTCATCACAAAAAAGATCACCTAGGCACATTGTCATCAGGTTATCTAAAGTTAAGATGAAGTAAAGAATCTTAAGAGCTCTGAGACAGAAGCACCAGGTAACCTAAGAAAGAAAACCTATCAGATTAACAGCAGATTTCTCAGCAGAAACCCTACAAGCTACAAGGGCTTGGGGACCTATCTTCAGCCTCCTCAAGCAAAACAATTATCAGCCAAGAATTTTGTATCCAGAGAAACCAAGCATCATACATGAAGGAAGGATACAGTTGTTTTCAGACAAACAAATGCTAACAGAATTTGCCATAACCAAACCACCACTGTAAGAACTGCTAAAAGGAGATTTAAATCATGGAAACACATCAAAACAGGACCTCTTTAAAGCATAAAGCACACAGGATCCATAAAACAAAAATACAAGTTAAAAAGCAAAAACAAAAAACAAAACCAAAGTACACAGGCAACAACAAGCATGATGTAAGCAATGATACCTCACATTTCAAAATTAACATTGAATGTAAATGGCCTAATTGCTCCACTTAAAAGACACAGAACTACAGAATGTAGAATAACTCACCAACCAGCTATCTGCTGCCTTCAAGAGACTCACCTAACACATAAGGACTCACATAAACTTAAAGTAAAGGGGTGGAAAAAGGCATTTCATGCAAATGGACACCAAAAGGAAGCAGGGGTGGCTATTCTTATATCCGAAAAAAACAAACTTTAAAGCAACAGTAGTTAAAAGAGACAAAGAGAGACATTATATAATGGTAAAAGGCCTTGCCCAACAGGAAAATATCACAATCCTAAATATATATGTACCTAACACTGGAGTTTCCAAATTTATAAAATAATTACTAATAGACCTAAGAAATTAGACAGCAACACAATGATAGTGGGGGACTCCAATACTCCATTGACAGCACTAGACAGGTCATCAAGACAGAAAGTCAACAAAGAAACAATGGATTTAAACTATACGTTGGAACAAGTGGACTTCTGACAGCTAAAGACTGGTCAACAGATACCCTTCCTCATGGGGGTCACTCAAAATTCCCTTTTAACAAGGCAAATGTCCCCTGAAAAACACTTCAATTCCTATTGCTTGCTTTATTTTTCTCCTTAGTATTTATCACTCTTATACTTCTACAATAGCTACCTATCTAATTATTTATTTATTTTAGAGATGGGGTCTTGCTCTGTTGCCCAGGCTAGAGTGCAGTGGCATAATCATAGCTCACTGCAGCTTCAAACTCCTGGCCTCAAGTGATTCTCCCACTTCAGCCTCCCAAGTAGCTGGGACTGCAGGCATTTACCACCACACACGGCTCTCCTACAATATCAATTACTATCCTTCAACCGTACATTATACTAATATCTATACTAATCGATTTCCTAAAATACAATTCTATATATTTTCTTATTGCTTTAGTAAGCCCCATAAAGGCAGGAACTTGGGCTGTTTCTTCCCCTGCTTACTTTCAGCCTCTGGAACAGGAGGTAGTCAATAGTTTTGCTGTTGTTGTTGAATGAAATTGCAGAACGGACAATTATGTTGATGGAAGAAATATCACACTCTTTATTAGGACCTAATCCAGCACTTAACATGTGGCAGATAAATGCTTAGTCCTGCTCTTACAGAAATGCAAGATGACACCGTGTTCCCATCTAACTGCTTTTCCTTACAAAATTATCTGGCCTGAGGCAGTGTCATGAAGCTCATCTTTGTAATGGATTTCTTATCTCCAGTGTTACACTTTTTTAGGGGGGCAAGGGAGGTGGCAGGGATTCTACATATATGGTTATCCTGCAATTCCAGATAAAAGTTTATGGCCAGAAGCCCCTGCTCAGCGAGTGCGTACCTCTGTAGGACTAAACTTGAAAGCCAGGAAATATCTGACATCTAGTTATATATCTATACCTAGACATCTAAATAGATGTGTTTGTGTATGTGTGTGTATATATGTGTATTATATATGTATATAATATGATATATATGTATACTATCATATATATGATATATATATATCATATATATCATATATAGCATATATATATCATATATATATACACACACACACACACATATATATACACACATGGTTTCCATGCACCTTGGTTTGGAGGACCCTATGCACTGTGTCATGATGTCGAGACATTATGTTATAACTAACTAGAAATATAAAGAGTAAAGTGAAGAGGAAAATGAACTAAAAAAAAAAAGAATATGTAAATTTATTCTGCTGTACAACTACCGGAAATGCCCCATGTCATCTAGAATAAAAATCTTCCTGTGGCCATGGTACTCTCAGTGTTCAAGATTTTTAAGCAAATCTCTCTGTGATTGCTAAAGAGGCAAAACATTACTAAGAGCACAGAAAATTTGATCTAAGTACATTTATAGAAACTTGCAGACAATTTGCAGGAAACATTCTTTTCCAAGAATTCATAGATGATTTATGATATTAACTGTCTCTTAGGCCATAAAGCAAAGCAAATCTCAATAAATTCTGAGGAACCAAAATTACACAGGCGTTTTCTTAACATAATTGAAAATGGAATATCAACTAAAGAAATGAAACCATACCTCCCCATATGTTCAGAAACTTACAAAGCCAATTCTACATAAAGCATGGTTCAGAGAAGAAAACATCACAGAAATAATACATTTTTAGAATTAACCATTGATGAAAGGAGATCCATCACAATTTTGTGGATAAAACTAAAGCAATTCATAGAAATAAATTATTAACTTTAAATACATTTTAGAAAAGAATATAGTTTTAAAGTCAATAAGCGAAGTATCTGGCACATGAATTTAGAAAACACACACACACACACACACACACACACACACAAAGTTGAAACAAAAAAAAGAAGGAAGAAAATAAAATGATGCTATTAATTAATAGACATGAAACAAGAAAAGAGGAAAGGTGAAGAAAGACGTGAGAAATTGACAATTTCTAGAACAATATAACTTACAAAAAGTGACTCAAGAAGAAGTGGAAAATGAACCAATTTATGCAATCATTGTATAAATTAAATCAGTTTTTAAAAATCTATAGACCAGAAATAAAAACAAACAAACAAAATGACCCAAATGATTTAACCTGTCTTTAAGGCAGAGATAACCTGCATTTTCATCCAGTTCTTTCGTACAATAGAAAAAGAAGAAAATTACCTCAGTTCATTTTCTGAGACAAGCATAAGCTCGATACCAAAATGAGGCCATCCCAAAAAGGAGATTACAGGTCAATCTCTTGTATAAACACATGCAAATAGCCTACGTGCATACATATTAGCAAAATGAACCCATGAATGTATAGTTTGTCAGCAGAATGAAAGGGTGGCTTATTTTAAAACATTAAATTGTGTTTAAAATTTAGAAAAAGAAGGCCCTTTATTGCTGCTTTTATTCTACCTCAAAATGAAGGTCTTAGCATAGAAAAAAATAGAAAAATATATAAGGAGCATAAAATGTGGGTAGGAAGAGGAAAAAAGTCAGTTATTATTGTAAATACTGTTAGCTACATAGAGAAACCAACACACCCTATGAGTCAGCTATTAGGAGTGATAGTCCGGAACTTTGCTGAATGCAAGTCAAAATACACACAGAAGAAGAGAGCTACATTTTCAAACCTAACAAAAGATGTTCCACCTTATTAACATATAGGAAAATGTAAGAAGATAAAAAAACATTGATTAAGTTTACAAATGTCATTACAATTAAAAAGCAAACTGGAAATATTTAATAAAATGTAGAATCATCTTTCCTACAACCAAGATATATATTTCTTCCACCTCTCGAAATATGCTGCAGATAAAATTAAACAAACACAAAATAGTATAGCATTCATTAAAAAAATTACAGGTAATAAAAATAAACCTTTCATAACTTCTCCTCTATTTTTGGAGGATATAAATCTATTAGGTCACCTTCTCTCTTCGACATTTCCTAACTGTGGCTTTGGTAGAGGAATAGACACTTAGACCAGTGGAACAGAACACAGAACAAAGCAAAAGCTCTACACAAACACAGCCACCTGATTGGTGACAGAGGTCCAAAGAGCTAGACAATGGAGGGAGCATATTCAGATTATGATTACAATTAAAATATTACAGCTATTGAGAAAAATATTTTGGCAATTTCTGTAGCTACAGTATGTAGTAACATTTCTAGATGAAATTATGTGGTTCATTAAGACCGTTCAAGATGATATTCAACATAGGAGGCCTGGAAGCTTCAGCTGCAGCAGGCGTATGTGCCTTCTTAGGTGAGCCTCTTAGAGGGATGTGTGGTGGACACTGGCAGCCTGCTGTCTGGTGCTGAGTCAGCTGTCTCCATAGAGCACCAAGGAAACGGGACAATTAGGATGGAGTACCTGTTTTCACTGATTGCTTTTTCTTTAACTTTTGTACTGGATTTATTGGTTATTATTCACCCTTTATGAGTAGAACTCAAAAAGCTGAGAATGAAGCGGATTCTGGTGAAAGGTTCAGTATGAATCTATTATGGGCATGAATGGAAATAAACTGCTTATTGCCCTACTTTTTTTCCAAAAGGAAAATGAATCAACAGAAGGAAATAAAATAATTGTTGGAATATTTTCTGTAAAGGAAAACAAAATTGACTTTATCATTTATGAGTAAGAATGTATATTTATTTATCTGATGTGGATGAATTATGTTTCAATCACTTCTCCTTATATTTTCAATTTAGGAGATGCTTTATATCGAAGATCTCAGACATTTGGAATATGGAAGTGGGCACTATTGATGTCCTGCCCAATGCCCTTTACCCATCCCCCGCTGACCTGGTATATTAGTCCATTTTCATGTTGCTGATAAAGACATACACAAGACTGAGAAGAAAAAGAGGTTTAATTGGACTTACAGTTCCCTATGGTTGGAGAGGCCTCAGAATCATGGCAGGAGGCAAAAGGCACTTCTTAACATGGCAGTGGCGAGAGAAAATGAGGAAGATGCAAAAATGGAAACCCCTGATAAAACCATCAGATCTCCTGAGATTAATCCCTACCACGAGAGTAGTATGGGGGAAACTGCTCCCATGATTCAAATTATCTCCAACTGGGTGCCTCCCACAACATGTGGGAGTTATGGGAGAATAATTCAAGATGAGATTTGGGTGGGGACACAGCCAAACCATATCATTCTGCCCCTAGCCCCTCCAAATCTCATGTCCTCACATTTCAAAACAAATCATGCCTTCCCAACAATCCCCCAAAGTCTTAATTCATTTCAGCATTAACCCAAAGGTCCACAGTCCAAAGTCTCATCTGAAACAAGGCAAGTCCCTTATGCCTATGAGCCTGTAAAATCGAAAGCAAGCTAGTTACTTCCTAGATACAATGCTAGTACAGGTATTGGGTAAATACAGCCATTCCAAATGAGAGAAACTGGCCAAAACAAAGGGGTTACAGAACCCATGCAAGTCTAAAATACAGTGGGGCAGTCACATTTTAAAGCTCCAAAATGATCTCCTTTGACTCCAGGTCTCACATCCAGGTCACATTGATGCAAGAGGTAGGTTCCCATAGTCTTGGGCAGCTCCACCCCTGTGGCTTTGCAGGGTATAGCCCCGGCTCCTGGCTGCTTTCATGGGCTGGCATTGAGTGCCTGCGACTTTTCCAGGTGTGTGGTGCAAGCTGTCGATGGATCTACCATTCTGGGGTCTGGAAGATGGTGGCTCTCTTCCCAAAGCTCCACTAGGCAGTGCCCCAGTGGAGGCTCTGACCCCACATTTCCCTTCCACACTGCCCTAGCTGAGGTCCTCCATGAGGGCCACGCCGCTGCCGCAGACTTTTGCCTGGGCATCCAGGCATTTCCATACATCTTCTCAAATATAGGTGGAGGTTCCCAAACTCCAATTTTTGACTTCTGTGTACCTGCAGGCTCAACATCATGTGGAAGCTGCCAAGGTTTGTGGCTTGCACTCCCTGACACCATGGGCCCAGCTGGACCTTGGCCCCTTTTAGCAATAGCTGGAGAGGCTGGGACGCAGGACACTAAGTCCCTAGGCTGCACACAACATAGGGACCCTGGGCCTGGCCCATGAAACCTTTGTTTTTTCCTATGCTTCTGGGTCTGTGAGGAGAGCGGCTATCATAAAGACCTATGACATGCCTTGGAGACATTTTCTCCATTGTCTTGGGGATTAACATTCGGCTGCTTGTTACTTATGCAAATTTCTGCAGTCAGCTTGAATTTCTTCTCAGAAAATGGGTTTTTCTTTTCTACGCATCATCAGGCTGCACATTTTCTGAACTCTTATGCTCTGTTTCCCTTTTAAAATGGAATGCTTTTAACAGCACCCAGGTCACCTCTTAAATACTTTGCTGCTTAGAAATTTCTTCCACCAGATGGGCTAAATCATCTCTATCAAGTTCAAAGTTCCACAATTCTCTAGTGTAGGGGCAAAATGCCACCATTCTCTTTGCTAAAACGTAGCAAGAGTCACCTTTGCTCCAGTTCCCAACAAGTTTCTCATCTCCATCTGAGACCACCTCAGCCTGGACCTTATTGTTCATATCACTATCAGCATTTTTGTCAAAGCCATTCAACAAATCTCTAGGAAGTTCCAAACTTTCCTACATTTTCCTGTTTTCTTCTGAGCCCTCCAAACTGTTCAAACCTCTGCCTGTTATGCAGTTCCAAAGTTACTTCCACATTTTCGGGTATGTTTTCAGCAACACCCCACTCTACTGATACCAGTTTACTGTATTAGTCAATTTTCGTGCTGCTGATAAAGACATATCCAAGACTGGGAAGGAAAAGAGGTTTAATTGGACATACAATTCCACATGGCTGGGGACGCCTCAGAATCATGGCGGAAGGCAAAAGGCACTTCTTACATGGCAGCAGCAAGAGAAAATGAGGAAGATGCAGAAATGCAAACCCCTGATAAAACCATCAGATCTCGTGAGACTTCCTAGCACGAGAACAGTATGGGGGAAACCGCCCCCGTGATTCAAATTATCTCCCACTGGGTTCCTCCCACAACATGTGGGAATTATGGGAATGCAATTCAAGATGAGAACTGGGTGGGAACACAGAGCCAAAGCGTGTCACCTTGGTACTGGCTGGAAGGATTCACAGCTGTCCCCTCCTCTAGACAATTGCCCTGTCAGCCTCAGCCTCCTAGGGAATGGAATACCCTAACCCCATCCCATAAGCCATAGTCACTGAGAGACCTACACAAGGATACAAAAACATGTCCCCTTGACTC
The DNA here is from genome assembly GCF_000001405.40 of Homo sapiens. Lineage (NCBI taxonomy): Eukaryota > Metazoa > Chordata > Mammalia > Primates > Hominidae > Homo > Homo sapiens. The sequence continues at coordinate 49,902 of NW_013171811.1, read as the reverse complement.
AAGCAGAGACACTCCATGCTGTGACTTGTACCCTAAAGCAAAGTGGATTGGAATGATAATAGACTCTGCCAAAGACTACATAGTTTTTCTGCTCTTTTCTGTTCTATGCCCTGCTTCCTTCACTCCCTTATGGGTTTTCTCTGTTGAGCTGTCTCAATACATAGGAATGTGCACCTGACTCTTCATTCTCTGCTTCTAGGGGACACAGTCTATATAAGAATATATATATATATACACACATATATATATATGTATATATATGCATGTGTGTGTGTGCATATAAGCATATATATCCTCTTCCATTTTCTAACAACATTCATGTTTTACACCGGGGGAAGAATATATTTTAATACAAACAAATGTTATCAAAGATTGAACATACTAAATGATACCAGTTTTCAAAACTGAAAAATAATAATAAAAGAACAAAAATAACATACATGCAAAAAAATAAAATTGGACTTATTTTACATTATATACAAAATTAATTCAAAATGGATTGAAGACCTAAAATTGTAAAACTCTTAGAAAAAAACACAGGGAAAAAATCTTTATGACATTTATGACATTGGACTTGGCAATGAATTCTAGCTATGACACCAAAAGCACAGACAGAAAAAGCAAAAATAGACGAATGAGACTACATCAAACTTAAAAACTTCTGTGCATAAAAGTACATAAGCATCACAGTGAAAAGGCAGCTTACAGAATGGGAGAAAATATTTACCCTTATACACCTAATAGGAGATTAATATCTAGAACACATAAAGAACTCTTAGAACTCAGCAACAAAAAATCAAATAATCTGATTAAAAATGGGAAAAGGACTTGAATAGATATTTTTCCAAAGATGATATACAAATTCCCAACAAGCATATAAAGATATGCTCAACATCATTGATCATCAGAGAAATGCAAGTCAAAACCACAACAGGTTATGACCTCATATCTGAGAGAATAGCTACTATCAAAGAAACAGAAAATACAAAGCATTGGTGAGGATGTAGAGAAATTGTAACACTTGTTCACTGTTGGGATTGTAAAGTGGTGCAGCCATTGTGAAAAACAGTTTGGAGTATTCTCAAAAAATGAAAACTTCAACTATCATATGATCTGACAATGCTACTTCTGGGTATACATCAAAATAATTGAAAGCAGGGTGTTGGAGAGATATTTGTATACCCACGTTTACAAAAGCTCTATTCAAAATTGCCAAGAAGTGGAAGCAGATGTCCATAGATGAATGGATAAACAAAACATGGTATACATGTATAATGGAATATTATTCAGCCTACAGTGGAAGAGGTTCTTGTACATGCCACAACATGGATGGATATTGAAGACACTTTTTAAGTGAAATAAACTGATCACTAAAAGATAAATACTGTAGGATTCCACTTATATGAGGCTTCTAAAGAGGTCAAACTCAGAAGCAGAAAGTAGAATGATGGTTGCCAGGGACTGAGGCAAGATGAGAGTTGACGTTGAATGGGTACAGAGCTTCAGAATGACAAAATGAAATGTTCAGGAAATCTGTTTCATAACAATGAGAATATACTTAACATTCCTGAACTGTACACTTAAAAATGGTTGCAATGGTACATTTTATGTTATGTGTTCTTACCACTATAGGAACATGAAAGAAAGTGATAAGACACAAGCAGCTAGATTATGGGGCTTTAAAAACATATATACATAGCTGAAGTATTTCACAAATAATGTAGTCACAAACTTATTGTTTACCCTATTTTACAAAAGTATTTGCTAGGAATTCTGAGAGGCCAAAAGATAGTTGTTCAGGAATTAGCATGCTTACATGCAGGTGCTGTAGACACACAGACACATTCACACACACACACGCGCACACATGCGCGCGCGCGCACACACACACACATTGGTATCTGTGCTCCTAACAACTCCTCTAGCAGAAGTTTTATTCTCAGAATCCATTGTTATAACACTCTTCCAAAGACTTTTTTTTTACTGCATATACAATGACGATGAAACAAAGGAACAATGTGGATTCTCAAAGACAAGAGTATAATCAATTTCAACCTACTCCCCCAGAGCCTAAAAAAAATAACCCCTCCTTAAGCACTGAAGTCTTTAAAATGTGTTGGATTTTACCATCCTTGTAATCAAGCTGCAGGTCTATATCCCTCTTTATAGAGCAATAAATAGTTGAAAGAAATTACATGTGTGCAACATATAGACGCTATGCCCTAAAATATTTGAGGATTTAGTTCTACACATAATCCTGCACCTAAACACTTCTCTGAAAGACAGAGAAATAAACCTAAATAATTTAAATTCTTCTCAAGAAAGTCAACAATATTTTTCATTTCACTAGTTTACAGCTATCTCTTAATTCTTTAAATTATGTATCAATAGGCCATTTCTTGTGTTTCCATCCAATTATTTGGGCATGTTTATCTGGTAAGAGAATGTAGTAAGTATTTTCTCTTTAAAATGGAAATAACACCAATACACATGACATAAAAATTACTGTATAATGTAAGGTATATTTACTTTTTGCACATCCATCTATGCTTTCTGACACTTACTATTTCCCTTACCATATTTCGTAAACAACAAGTGATTTGGTCATGATCAAAAGCTTTCAGTGGATATAGATTTACAGTCATAATTCTTTCTAGGGTTCGTTTCAGGGTAATAATAAAACTGAAGTTTCTCCTCATGATGTGATGTTTCTGCTTCATTATCCCAGTAGACCCAGCTGTCCAGTCAAACCTATGGCTGACAGAGTGTACTATGCCCTGCAGGTTGTGCCACAGACAGCTCCAAAGTCATATCCAAGTGCTAAGGCCCCAGCGCACAGAGTGCTGCAGGGCACCCACCGGCCAGGTTCCCTGCAGAGACCAGCCAGCTACATCCAGGCTCTGGAGAGCCTGCTGATTTGAAGCCCTGCCCTGGGAACCAACTGCACAGTGCCAAATCTTCACTCAACCGTTTATTGCTTGTGTGACTTTGGGCAGATTCCTTTTCCTCTCTGTGTCTCGTGTCTACCTCACAGGGATGATCCAATGATAAAATGCATGTGAAGCATCAGCCAAGGGTCTGGCACATCCCATCGTAGCTACTGACTTATCAGATGACAATTTCTCTAAAAAATCTGGCCCTTTAAGATCAGAACTGCCTCCTATGGCTGTTTCCAGATGCCTTCAGATGAAGCGTCATATGCTGCACACCAGAACCTGTCTTTTCCTAAATGCCCCTGCCATTCTAAACACCATGCCTCCACTACTGAGCGTCTTCAAGATGTAAGAGCTCAAATTGTTGCTCTATTTCTTCCAAGAGAGGATGATGCTTTGGAATTAAGACAGTCTCAGACAAGCTTGGATTCCTGGCCCAAACAGGCTATATCCCAAAAGAGAAGTTCTCTTTGGTTTTATACTCAGTAAAATAAATTTAGATGCTCTACCCTAAATATACATTTTTGAACCCTCAAATGTTGAACGATCTTTCTGCTCTGAATCCATATCTACATATTTCATCTTTGATCAACATCTTCAATTCCGGTTGGAAGAGACTCAGCTCACTGTTCCTGCCAGAAAGGTATTTAATAGGCAAATTCTCTGGTGCTCAGACAGTCTCAGACAGGATTCCCTCCTATAGAAACAGAAGCCCTTGCTGGCTCCATTCAGGCAGCTTCCTGGATGCCTTTAGTCTGAGTCTGAAGCAACATTGCAAAATGAACATTACACATTTTAGATACAAGACTAACGAGCATATACTTTATATTAATGATTTCTCTTAAATTTCTTTGTTTTTAATTTAAAAGTATGTATGTATGTGTGTAACTTAAATTTCATGATTGCAAGTAAAACTGAAAAAAATGCATGATTTTCATGTGTCTTGACAATAATTTTATTTAAAATATTATTTTGATATAAAATATTTGCTATTTAATTTTTTGATATAAAACATTTTCAGTACTAAAAGGCCTGAGACAAAACTAAAGTTCACATTTAATATTAAATTTTGGCTTTACAATGCCTGTTTTATTTTTCTTTTCACTGTAAATACATTTGGGAAAAATAAGATGCTAAAATCTCTATTGTCATTTTTAGGTTTTACATATATTTTATAGTTTTTCATGATTTTCATTCCGCTTTTTATTAATTTCTAAGACACATTCAGATGAAAGAAATTCTGCAAGGTCAATTTAAAGATCAATGCAAGAACACAGAAACCAATTCACAGATAAGTTTCTCTGTGTCCAACATAAGAACCCTCCTCATTGCAAGTCTTAATTATTGCATTAAACACCCTTGGCTTTATTCTCTCACCACTTCACTCTACTATGTAGACTTTAAAAACAAGTTTGTTATTATACCAATTCAGAATAATGGTATACAAATAATGGTATAGAAATGGTATAGAAATAGTCAATGGTTCTACCTTGCTTATTGAAGGTTAATACTAATTTGTATTCAAAATAAAGTCAGCTTTTTCCATATATCTTCCATCCTTATTCCTATTTTCCTGCTACTCCATTATACAGATTCTGCCATTTTCATTAACCATCTAGAGTGTTCCATTATTTTTTCTGGGAGCATCCTTCCCCTGGAGAAGCACCTCATATCTGTCACTCCATGTGGTCCTGAAAGTTAGTAGAAACATTGTCCAAGTCAACTGCCCACGGGACTGGAAATCTGAACTGGGCTGAGCCCACCATAATGGCTCTGACACTGACAATCAATGACTGATTCCAGTGTAGGACCTGGCCCTAGTGGGACAATTCAGGATCTTTCCTTTAAGTTTGATAAATGGACACTGGAATTTTTTTTATTATACTTTAAGTTTTAGGGGACATGTGCACAACGTGCAGGTTAGTTACATACGTATCCATGCGCCATATTGGTGTGCTGCACCCATTAACTCATCATTTAACATTAGGTATAGCTCCTAATGCTATCCCTCCCCCCTCCCCCCATCCCACAACAGGCCCTGGTGTGTGATGTTCCCCTTCCTGGGACACTGGAATATTTTTTTAATGCCCTCTCTGTTGTTTAAATATCAGCCCATGAGGATATCATGGCTGTCAATGTCAATCTCTTCTGAGACAGAAAAAGAGAGAGAAAGAGATGCAGAGAGAGAGAGAGAGAGAGAATTAGAATGGAAAATATCAGTCAAATCCCCTGACCCCTGATCCAGCAATACATGAAGCCACTGGCATTCAGATTTTCTGAGTATAAGGGCCATTTTCCAAATATAAAAGCCAATACATTCCCTTTTGTATTTAAACCATTATGAGTTGATTTCTGCCAGTGGCAACCAAGTGACTCGTGTAATATAAAAATCCATAAAGATCGATTTCTTTGTGCCAAAGGACATATGTCTTTGGCATAACTAGTTCTGCCCTCTTTTGAATGTATAGCTTATTTCAACAAGTAGGACAAGAGTTTATATTTTGTATTATATAGAATATTTATTATATATTATTTATTTTTAAATAATACATTTTCTGATATCAGAAAGCTTCATATTTTGTGTTCAGTATGTGCTGTGCTTATAATGAGAACAACAATTCCCTTCAGTCAGTCAATTCTTCATAAACAAGGAATTCATTGAATGTCCTCTCTGCACTTGGCTGTGAACTAAGACATAAAAAGGTAGAAGATAAAATCCCTGGTCATGAAGACATAGCCATGGGGTTGAGTGTGCACACATGTAAGAAAGAGTTGAGAGGCAGTGAAAATCAGTATTCAGTGCTTCTCCTCCTGGGATATGGAGACACCACTGACCATGCCCAGGGAATATTAAAGCCAGAGAAGGACCAGGGAGCATATTACTGGATCATGTAAGTTAAGTTTGACCATCTTTGTCCCATTATGGCCCATTGAGCCCAATTCTTGCACTGTACTCTTTTTAATATCTGAATGTATCTGAAAAGTTGATGTAAAGCAGTTGGCTCACCACATAATTATGCTCTTATGATGAAAGGGAGACTTTAATCAGTATTCTTCCTTTCCCTCTGCCCTATAGACCATAAACTTCATGAATACAGGGGCCATCTCTGTTTTGGTTACAGTTGCATTTACAGAGCATATCAAGGGTCCTGTCATGTTAAAGGAACTCATTCATTCATTCATCTGCTAATGTATCCAATCATTCATTCATCTGCTAATGTATTCAATCATTCAAATCTATTATTTGGAATTTGCTATATGCAAAGCTTTGTATTTAGACATTTGATGGTTACAAGTTTAATAAGTTACTTTGCATTGATACTGTTTACCAAGTAGGATAAAGAAGATAGTCACTGAAATATACCTATATCTAAAAAAGAGGAATGGACAAAGTGCTAAGTTAACTCATACATAAAGAGAATTTAGTACTTAGAGATTCTGTGCCTTTTGATCTGAAATTTAATCACAGCTAAAAATTTTAAATTCAAAGATGAGAAAAAATTTCTCAATTTTAAGTTGAGAAAAAAATGGAAAAAAGGCAGAAGTTATAGGATAATTTCAAGCACTTATCAGTTTGGCAGAAGCAAAGATACATAAGGGTGAAAAGTTGAAAATAAAGCTAAAACAAGAATTGGAATCTCCACATTTCTGAGAGAGTAAAAATAGTTTCATCATTTTCAGTTCTGCCACAGGAACCATTAAAGATTTGCAAACAGCATTACAAAAAAATAGTGGAGTCCATCAAAAATCTGGAGGCTTCTAGAGCAGCTCATAGAGAGACATGGTAGGGAGCATCTTCCCGAAGCATATGCACTAATTCTGGGTGAAAGTTAGGAGAGTCTGAGTTCGAACAAAAAAAATGCAATGCCGGGGTAAATGATAGGGATTATGAAGAGAAAGAACCTTTGAGAGATGGTGAATTGCCCTACTGGGTGACAAGGGAGAAAGTGGAGTCAGAAGGTAGAGAAAGAAAAGTCTCTGAACTTTCAAACTGCAGTGACAAGAATAAAGGTAAAACCATCAATCACAAGGGAAAATGCCATGGATTTAGAAGAGGGGCAAATATATGCATGCATATGACTGTGATACAAATGTATCAATTATCAATTCATATGTATCAGAGTACATATATATAGTGTTCGCTGACAATGCTTCAAGTAGGAAATGTCCATCAAGCAACTGGAATAGTTTACAGATATTAGCTGCATACAGTTTCTTTAAACTAGCTGTAAGTTTATATACACAAGCAGAAGTTTCATCCTATTATATATTTTAAAGCTGTAAAAATGAGAAAATATTGCAATATGTGATTTTCAAAGGGGTGCATTTAATTATTTCTAAATAATGTCAAAATTACCAATATTGTCTCTTTTTGACAGATTAGTCACAGAATACTTTCATAGCACAATGGCCTAAATATACCTATATCTAAAGGAGAGGACTAGATATAGTGCTCAGTTCACTCAGATGGAAGGAGAATTTAGTGCTTGGAGAAGGTCAAGTTAGATTTCATGCCTTTTGATCTGAAATTTGATAAAGGCTAAAATTTTGAAATTCAAAGATGAAGGCTTAATGCCAATTTACAAATTCTACAGAATGACATAAATTGCTTAATCATGAGTTGAAGAGAGACACGAGGAATTCCCTTAATGCATAACAGATTTTTTTCCATAACTTTGATTACTACCCTTTAATACAACAATTTCATAGCTGAGTTTGAATTGAGTCAACTAAAATATTTTTCTGAATATATTAATAAAATGGGGTTATGTGGTTCATCTGTGTGCCTCTAAAATCTTTGGTCATGTGTTAAAAATTAATTGAAGAACACAGAAAGAAAAGCATGCTAAAAACTACATCATGGATGATATAATCCAGATACATTAAGAAAATTTTAACAAGGGAAAAAAAGAAAATCAAACTAACAAACAAGAAAAGCCCTCCTTTTTCTTACTTTCCTTTCATGGGAGCTACCACTTTCTCCTCATGCAGACATGTGATCACAAACTAAGGAACCAGGAAAAATGTAGTGCCCCAGAGGACAGGGGTCACCTACAGTCAGCCTGAAACTTGGGCAGGGCTGAGGCAGGGCTGGGAGTAAGTGCATACCTTGTAAGCACTTCTAAGAGGGTTTCCCACCTGGCTCTTGAGTCCCCACCTTCCTGCACCCTGGGGCAGGACTACTTATGCTCTGTTCAGTCTGAGCTGGGAAACTTGGAGGTACTGATTCCGCTTCCTCTGTGGATCCAGCGTCAAGTCTTTGGCATAGGGAAAGGTGGAGAATGTACAAGGTAGATGTGGAAGATAAAACAGGTGGGATAGGCAGTGTTGGGTGGTAATGCCACCTGAGGCCATTATGCATTCCTTTCAGACACTCATAGCCTCCTCCTGATCTATCACCCTCCATGTAATTCCAGTCAACATTGATCCATCATCTTCTGCAACTCAGTATGTTTCCTCAGCAAAGTCACAGCTGGTAAGGGGAAAACCACTGGCGATCTTTTCCCCAGAATCCTTGTAGATGAACGAGACCATACTCCTTATTTTGTGGGAGGTGGAAGGAGGTTGGTGGAAGGAGGTTGGTGGAAGGAGATCGGGGCACAGAGTAGGCAAGTTTGAGTTCTCTGAATGTTAGGAATCACATTGAGAGCCTTTTTAAAGCTACAGGAGACAGCGTACATACCAAACTTACAAGGTGTAGAGGTCATTTTCGACACTGCAAACTATCGTAGACACTGGGGAATCAAGAAAAGAACTGCTGAAACATGACTTCATTAAAGAACATTTATGACCGTCTTTTATGTGTACTGATTACTATTGATGACTCAATCTCTTTTACCAAATACTATTGTAAGTAGCATGAAAATGTGTCAGATCTTATCAATGTAAGTTTGGTTTTAACTCCAAACCAGCTTTATTATATGATCAGTCTTGGCCTGATGTTCCAGACCTAGCTTAGATCTGGTCCAAAGTAAGCCCTCATCATGAGTAAGGAAGACTCAGGAGACCTGTCATGGCCACTGCCTCTTGTCTTGTCCCCACCCCTGATGTCTCTGCTACTGTTTCCTGGGGGTGCAGGGATAAGGCACAGAACTGCTAGAAACCAGCCCAAAACAACACTCTGCAACTTCTAAATTTTCATAAAACCAGTAAAGAATGCTGCTGGTATTATCCTACTTATACTCTTGGAATAAAATTGCCACTATTAACTTCATCAAACACTCTTAACCAAACATCCTAAAAATATTTTCAGACTATACTCCAGACTATATTTTTAAACCAGTGTCTTCTGGCCTGTTCATGGGTGTGAGGGTTGAACACAGATTTGTCTTTCTATGGCCTTCATTGACACTACCGAAAGCTAATTATTTAAATATACTTTTGAAATGTCATTTATGCTTGAATCAATGATGAAGATAAGGGAATGTTAGATAAGAAAATGAGAAAAAAAAAGATGTTAAATGCTATGCATTTTAGAGACTGTTAATTAAAATTTGGAGCTTGAGTTCATTAAGAATTTCTTCTTTACAAAGCAGTTTGAAATGTAAACAGACTATGGGTCTTCCATTAAAAAACACCATTGCTACTAATTATTTAAAGAGCAAATCTTTCCCATTGTGTTAACAGAGTTAAAGAGGATTAAGGTTTATTATTTCAGCTCATGGGTTGCAGTAATTTAAACAGATGATAGATAGATAGATAGATAGATAGATAGATAGATAGATAGATAGATAGATAGACAGACAGACAGATAGATGGTAGAATAAATGCTCCAACCATTTTAGACCAGGTACCTGGAAAGGGAGTGGAGTGGTGGGAGTGTAAGAACCCTGGAAATCAGAAACTGGAAGACATCAAAAGTGACACTGTGGGAGCATCCCTGGGCTGACACTGCTAGACCACATAGCCATGGAAACCAGAAGCCTATTATGTAAGCAGAATGAGCTCAGGAATTTCTCCCCGTCTCAGAGCTGAGGATCCGAAACTCAAGAGCCAGGTAAAGAAAGAGGAACCCCAGGCTGGACCCAGGAAACTGGGCCCAGGACATAATGGACACAGTGGAAGGAGAAAGCCCAGAAATATTCTGTGTTGAACTTGCCCAGTTGAGATTTTTTGAAAGTAGAATGGTTTACCTAATATTTCCCATCCCATGGCTTAATAATTAAATCACAATGGTTTGAGTACAGCACTTTTATGATTTCTGCTAGTGAAATCCTCCATGGCAGGCCAAGAATTTCAGTGTCTCAAGATACAAGGGAAATCCCAGTCCTAAGTATTTAAGTGTTTACCTGAGGCAAATAAAACCACGCGCCCATGCAAAACAAACAAACTTGTCTTTGAATATTTATAAAGGCTCTACTCATAATAGCCCCAAACTGGAAACAAATAAATGCCCACAAACTAGTGAATGGGGTGCACACACTGTGATATATCCATCAAAGAGAATCCTACTCAACAATAAAAATGAATAAACCTGTGATATATGCATCAACATGGATGATTGCCAGATGCATCATGCTGAAGAATGAAAGCCAATCTTTTTAAACAACTAAACACACTTGCCATACCCAGCAATTGCACTCTTGAACATTTACTAAAGGAAATGAAAACTTACATCCACACAAGAACCAGTACAGGATTCTTCATAGTAACTTTACTTGTAATAGACAAAAGCTACAATCAACCGGAATGTCTTTCAATAGGTGAATAGTTCAACAAACCATGGCGCATCCACACCACCGAACACCACTCAGTAATTAAAAGGAAGAAGCATTGGTAGACAACAACTTGGCTGGATCTCAAGGGCATGATGTTGAATTTTAAAAGCCAATCTCAGAAGATCACATATTGTACAACTTCATTTACATGACATTCTGGAAAAGGCAAAGCTATAAAAACAGAAATCAGATCTGTGATTGACAGAGGCTAGTGATTATGGAAGGAGATTGACTATAAAGGACACAAGGGAACTCTTTGGAGTGAGAAAAATATTCTATATGTTCATTGTGGGTCCCTTACATGGTGGGTCCCTCATTTGTCAAATTTTTTTTTAACTATACACCTAAAAATAAGTTCTGTATGTAAATTATACCTCCATAAACCTGACTTAACAAAATAGACCAAAACAATAATGGAAGAGTTACATCTAGAACCAGACTTTCAGAAAGTTAAGAGGCAAAGTGTTGAAATAAATCTACAAAATACTGAGGGGATTCAGTTATGTGCTGTCATAATGAACATTTTTAATAAGACAAAATTTGGGGGGGTAGGATTAGTAAATAAAACTAATTATTTTTTAAATGATAGAAAAGAAGTCTTGTGAACAGATGCCAGCCTCTGTCACTTACTATAAATCAGAGGGGTCAGATAAAAGAAACACCCAAAGGCCGGGCACGGTGGCTCACACCTGTAATCCCAGCACTTTGGGAGGCCTAGGCGAGCAGATCACCTGAGGTCAGGAGTTTGAGACCAGCCTGGCCAACATGGTGAAACCCTGTCTCTACTAAAAATACAAAAATTAGCTGGGCGTGGTGGTGCATGCCTGTAGTCTCAGCTACTCGGGAGGCTGAGGCATGACAATCGCTTGAACCAAGGTCACGCCACTCCACTCCAGTCTGGGTGACAGAGCGAGACTTCATCTCCAAAAACAAACAAACAAAAACACCCAAAGTTACCAACGTGTCTGATTAAAGTGGGGAAGAGCATAGTAACTCCATTCCTGCCCTAGTCTCTCAATCTGCATGGTGCATCACACATTTCCAAGAGCTTTCACATGTTGTTACTAGACTGCAGACTGGGGTTCAGTCAAAAAATACGTCCTTTCACGTCCACAGTCTCATGCCACGGGCAGTGCCTGTACCTGCACTGTCTCCTGCAGTGGCTCAGTAAGAGCTGATTGTATAGTTGGGTGACTGCAAAATGGATAAAGGAAAGAATAACGGTAAGGAGAAGTTATTAATAAATTGATTGACTTTCACAGCTACCTAGGAAATGAATTGGGATGGTATCATTGGCCTCATTTTTCAAATGAGGAAATTAAGTACCAAGCCCTAGAAGAGTTAAGTGATGATAAAAATTGCAAAGTAGCTAAGAGACCCTAGGATTGACCCTGTGGTCCCATAAGTAGCAGTGGAGTCTCCCCTAATGATCATGGAGGGATGTGCTGCCTCCCTGTCCAACCTACATGACTGTGTTTGTTATCACAGCTCACACTGGCCAAGTATGCCAGGCCATGATTTACTGAATTTCACTTGAACTGATTTTGTGGGTACATCACAGGTGATGTGCTTTAGGTATCACTGTGAGATGAAAGGGAAATTAAGACTTGTTTAGGATTCCCTAAGAATGGAAAAGGTGAAGCAAAATGTTGCCCTGCATAAATTCAGCTCATGAGTGCTGTGTGGAAGGGGTTCAATCTCAACTCGGTTCTCCAAAGATAAACCTAATAAGTAAAGTTGTTCAGAGTAGAGAATAATGAACTAGACATGTAGGAAATAATTTAACCTTTGAATGGCATTTTTCCCCCAATAATACTTTGCAGCAATGACTTTAATATAGTTAAAATAGGAGGCAGCAGGAGGAATGTCTTTCCTTAATCTTATATTTGTTGCTGGCCCACTTCAACGACTCTCTTCCTCTTTTTCTACTAACAACTTGAATGAAGGAGAATGGCCAATTGATTTCCACAAAAGCATTCGTTAATTTGTGCCTGCCTTTCCTGTCACTTCTCATTTCTAGATAATCAATAACTCAAGTCTCTTTCATCTTTCCTTATTCAGAAGACCCTGAAGCTATTTGCCTTTAGTTATCCTTCTCTCAACCCCTTTCTATTAGCAAAAGACTGTGTTAAGCTGAACTAACCAAAATGGTAGAGTAGTTAGAATGCAGCATTGATTCACACAAGGTTGTCTCAAATTTCCGTTTGCATTCTTATCTTGTTTTAAAGTATCGAGAAGCGTCCAATAAGCTTTTGCAACCACAAATATATGTGGAGATGACATATTGACTGAAATTTCAACAGTGACCTCTTGAGCATTTTCTGAATGCACAAGTCAATTTGAAACTCCAGTTTAAGAATTATTTCAATGGACTCCACAGTATGAAGCTTTCTCCTTAGAAAGCAAAGCATCACTGAACTGTGGTTTGGAACAGGTTTTCATAGTACTGCCAAGAAGGCTCATTTTGACAGAACAGTCACTCTTAAACCATGATGTTGTGTGTTCTATTCTAGCATTAATTTATGAAAATTAGTGAAAAACAAAGTTTCCTTTATGTCAAACCTCAACCAAACCTGTCTTGTTGCTCTTATGGTTGTCGTTACCGTTATCCCAGTTTCTCAAACCATTGTAGGATGCCAAAAGTTTTAAAAACAAAACCCAGGCCCAACACATGGCCTTTGATGATTTTTGGTTCACTCTGTAAATACAGGACAAATTGTTGAGGGCTTTGGACCACCGGCAGAGGGTGAATGTGAAAGGATAGATGGGTTTCACTTTCCAAAGATGAGGAAGAAGATGCACATATCAGCACATGTGACCTACTTTTGCTGCAGTAAATTTAACACTGCTCATGTGTTTCCTCTCCAAAAAAATGAAGCATTTTGGAGTGGCACAACCTCCTCCACCAACTGCCCTGTGTGTATTTTTCCTTTTAGTAGCCAAAGCTCATATGTGTTCTGTACTCTTCATTCCCTTCCAATTGCAGCTCAAGTCATTGCAAGAACTCCTCCCTCCTCTCCCCTGGCCCTGCTCTACGTCTACATCACTAATGGCCTCCTCATCGATTACTCCAGAGGATGCTGGTCCTGCCTGCACTGTGATCTTCTCACTTCATGCCAGCCTGCTTAGCAGACACTGCCTCTTGAAACAGTGTTACCCGAGCTGTTGATTGAAGACATCTTAACTCCTTTGCAAACCACTCATCCTTTATCTGCCCTTCTAAAATTTCTGACCTGAGCCATCTGTTTCCTTGTCACCTATTTCCTTTCCTCCTGTGGCTTAAATGAAACCAGTATGCTAACAACTCCCATGCCTATTTCAAATAGGCATCTCTCACCTGAGCTGCAGCTGTGTGTCTATGGCTACATACTGGACAGCTCTTCTTGCATACCGTGGGACTTGGCATGCCCAAGCCTGCTCTTCCCATCTGAAACTTAGTAACACCATACACATAGCTGTTCACACACAAACCTAAGTGCCTTGAATATTCCATTTATCGTATACTCCACAATGCCGAAGTCGTCCCAAGGCCTTAAGGTCCTGGTACTGAAGTCTTTTTCAAATTCATCCAGTTTTCTCCATGCTCAGGTCAATCACCAACACAAACTCTTCACCCATGTGGGTCATCCTAAGAGCCACCTACCTGGCCTCCCAGACTGTGCCACTGCTCCCTCCCATTTGTTCTCTATAGTCAATCTTTCTAACACAAATCTTTACTTTCCACTTTTAGGAATTCCTAAGAATTCCATCTTAGTGGATTCCAGTTGCTTTCAGAAAAAGTCCTTAGAAAATTCTAAACCTGACCTATGGCTCCTATGTCATTCAGGGTTGAGACATTCAGGTTTAGGAAGGAAGAGCATAGATTCAGTCTGGACAGTGCAGGTTTGAAGTGCTGATAAGATACAGGGTCTGCTTGGGTTTGAATAGCGCAAATCAGGAGATCCCAATGAAGGGCACAGCCTGGTAGATTTTCCTGGAACCCAGCCACAGAGATGTTGGAGATGAAATAATTACCCTACGTAGGATATGCATGTTTTTAAAAGAGCAAAGCAACACAGAATTTTTCACTAATCAGACAATAAATTCTGTTAATTCCACCTTATAAATACCTCTCTAGTCAGACCACGCCTCCCCTTCCCTGTCCCCACCCTCCTGATTTAAGCTGTCACCTGGGCTATTTCAAGGCTTCTCCCATTTTCAGTCTCTCCTTTAATCCACACTCTACAGTACCATCAGAATGACAGATCTAAAATGCAAAGCTGATCACATCACTCGCTCTTGAAAATCATTCAAGGAACTCCCTCCCTTGCATAATGAGTAACACAGAAACACATCAGACTTGTCCAACTACTGCACATTGTTCTTCTTTCTCCATCTCTTTGCTTTGAACGCACTACGCAGTCACAACATGGTGCTTTGTGCAGGCCTTCTTCCCTCCCTGGGCTCCTCATCCATTGATCTTCAGTAAATGCCTCCTCATCCTGAAATGCCTTCTGCCTACTCTGATGAGCTTGCCCCAGCTCCGCACACACCTTCCTCATGGAACAACTGGGTGCCTTTCCCTGTCTTGTCTCATAATACTGACTTACAGATGGAAATTGAAAATTCGTTATTCATTTTCAATTTTTCCTCGATTGTGAATTTCTTGTAGAAAAAAATTCTATTTATACATATAAACTGAGTGCATAGCAGAATGTCTGGCGTGAGTGAATGATTAAAAAACTTAAAATATGGGCATAGGTGGGAAAAGTGAGAGGGGCAGAAACAAGTCAGTGTTACAAGGACAATTATTTTCAGAAAAGCAAGCAGCGAGAGGTTAAGAAGTTAGAGGTGGTCACTGAGTGAAAATGTGCAAATAATTTGAGATAAACTGGAACCAAAAAGAGAGTTTGATGTTTCAGTACAGTAACAGTGTGGGAGATGAAATGCTATATTTGAGTGGAAAGGTATTTGAGGAGCATGAAGCAATGAATTTTTTAAAAAGTTTGGAAGTAAAGGTAAGTGGAGCCCAGGGCTATTAGCTTGAGTAAGTAACTCCGAAATAAAAAGTAGTATTGACCTATTAGTTTGGGAGGAATTAACAAAAAGTGAAACAAAAAACCTAACTTTTGACAGCCTAGATTCTCTGGCTTAACAATGTGGAACATGCTCATTCCTGCCTCAGGGTCTTCGAACTTGCTGTTCCCTCTGTGTGGCACACTGTTCCCACAGGTCTTCACGTTGCTGACTCACTCACTCCTTTCAGTAACTTAGAGACCACTTCTTGAGAGTGATTTTCCCTTAACAACCTATTTAAAATTACCCCTCAAGTCCACTCTGCTTCCAGGTCACTCAGTAGTTCGTTAAACACCTTTATTTTTCTCACATTAGTTGATGCCATCAAAAGTTCTTATAACATCTCTTTACTTACTTACTCTGTCTCACACACTGGTATGGTGATTTCAAGAGAGTAGGAATGTTAGCTTGCTTGTTCGTCTTTGTATCTTTATTTTTAATTAATTAATTAATTAATTAATCTATTTATTTGTGTTGCCCAGGCTCGAGTGCAATGGTGTGATCTCAGCTCACTGCCACATTTACCTCCTGGGTTCAAGCGATTCTCCTGCCTCAGCCTCCCAAGTGGCTGGGATTACAGGCATGTGCCACAACCTCCAGCTAATTTATATATTTTTGGTAGAGATGGGGTTTTGCCATGTTGGTCAGGCTGGTCTCAAACTCCTGGCCTCAAGTGATCTGCCCGCCTTGGCCTCCCAAAGTGCTGGGATTACAAGCGTGAGCCACTGTGCCCAGCCATCTTTATATCTTTAGCCCTTAGATTACTCCTTGAAAAGGACCAGGAGTTAAATAATATTTCTTGAAGTCATGAATAATAAATACATGAATTAAATACTGAATAAATGAATAAAATAAAAGGAAACTAAAATTGACTTAATCTATCCAGGTCTATCAGTTAAGTTACTGTGGCATGTTTATATCTTTAATGTGATACTGAGTCTGGGCCAACCATTGAAAGCATAAGGAATCCTTTCCCATCCACCAAACAACCTAAAAGGAAGGGTACCCAAGTAGAACAACAGATGCCAAGTAAGGATGTTAGTGTGAAACCCTCCAGATA
Source organism: Homo sapiens (assembly GCF_000001405.40). NCBI lineage: Eukaryota > Metazoa > Chordata > Mammalia > Primates > Hominidae > Homo > Homo sapiens. Next base: position 33,136 of record NW_013171811.1, on the reverse strand, counting down.
TAATGGCAAGCCTTAAATAATGCAACGTCAACACGGAGCAAAACACAAAGATATATCATTAGGTCATCAGTACACCAGCAGCCCATGATGTTCTTGGAAGTCTGTATAAAAGTCAAATGTATAAAGGCTGAACAAGAGACATATACTATAAGTTTACGATTTTATATATCATATGTGTGTATATATGCATACATATATAGAGAGGGAGGCATAGAACAGATCTGGATATGGACACAGATATGGATATCTGAGGTTAAAGATTTCCCTTAGCAGCATATTTGATGATTTCTATCTTTCTCTTAATTGCATTATGTTTACACATCCTAGACTTCACACTAGTATGAGGACATCATTTATTTGAACACTATTATAAAATAGTGTGGGTAAAAGTAATATAAGATTCCTATAATTAGAGATACAGTGTCATAAAGATTAGTCTCAGTTTGAAGTCATCACACTATGTATTGAAACTAATTTATTTAGTAGAATATAGGTACTATAAAGCTCTAGATCTTATTATAATACATTTTTAAATTTGAAACGCTGGGTGCATTTGTAAAAACAAAACAAAACAAAAATAAAAACAACTTGGGGCCAGGCACAGTGGCTCACGCCTGTAATCCCAGCACTTTGGGAGGCCAAGGCGGGCAGATCAAGAGGTCAAGAGATCGAGACCATCCTGGCCAATATGGTGAAACCCTGTCTCTACTAAAAATACAAAAATTAGCTCGGTGTTGTGGTATGCACTTGTAGTCCCAGCTACTTGGGAGGCTGAGGCAGGAGAATTGCTCGAACCTGGGCGGTGGAGGTTGCAGTGAGCTGAGATTGTGCCACTGCATTCCAGCCTGGCGACAGAGCAAGACACACACACACACACACACACACACACACACACACACAAAAAAAAAAAAAAAAAAAAAAAAGGGAAATATTTTTTCATTTAAGACTAGTTGAAATTATTTTAATATTGAAGAGAAAAGTAAATATTTGAGAATATCTAAGACTGTCATGAACACTAATCAGGAGAGATTTACCTTATCATATCTCAAAAGTTATCAAAAGCTAAGATAATGAATACAGTGTAACCTTAAACTAAATCAATGGATCAATGTAACAAAAACATAAACCAGAAATGGATGCAAATATATTTAGAAATTTAGAATGCGACAAAAGCAAATTTCAATTCAGTAGGTATTGTGCATGCAGAAATGAAACAGGGAAAGAAGTAACTCTTACCTTAAATCACACACACACACCTTAATTCCACATGAATTAAAATTTCAAATACAAAAATGAAAGTTTAGATTAAGATGTAGAAAACTAATTTAGCTTTAGAATAAATAGGCTACCCAAAGCAATAAATGAAACCAAAAATCCATAGAACAGAGACATATTTTTCTACACAATTAGTAAAAAATCAGATGCCATCCAACACCCAAAACAAAGGCAAAAGTCAAAAACAGGAAAACTGGCTGGGCACGGTGGCTCATACCTGTAATCCCAGCACTTTGGGAGGCTGAGGCGGGTGGATCCCCTGAGGTCAGAAGTTCGAGACCAGCCTGACCAACATGGTGAAAACCCATCTCTACTAAAAATAAAAAATTAGCCGAGTGTGGTGGCACGCACCCGTAGTCCCAGCTACTTGGGAGGCTGAGGCAGGAGAATCACTTGAACCAGGGAGGCAGAGGTTGCAGTGAGCCAAGATCATGCCACTGCACTCCAGCCTGGGTGACAGAGTGAGACTCCCTCAAAAAAAAAAAAATAAATAGGTAAACCATCTACACCACATTCATATCAAGAGAAACATTAATATTTCCTTACATAAAGGTTTACATGAAATTGATAAGTAAAAGGATTAAAAACCCAGTGTAAATAATGAAAACACATATGAAGAAATTTGACTAGTTAAAAGTGGTGGAACACCCTTAACTATTTATTATATAAAATGGAGAGCCCCACAGGAAACCATATTTCGACGATGGAGTTGACATCCTTTTGGGAGGAAGGCACGTTTCCGGGTTGGCTGAGGTGCAGTGATGCGAGTCCTTTGATTGCTGGTTGTGGTAATCTGAAGTGCTACTCCTCACTGAAAGAAATCTAGCAGTTTCTACAAAACCTTAAACTACACATACCATTTGATTCAATGTTACTGCTCTTGTGAATCAATATTCCTATAAGCCAAAATACTTAAACAGAATGTCTTAATGCCTGTCAAAAAAGAAGAGTTTAATAAATAGATGGTTTAATAAATGCTATAGACTATTACACTACTTAGCTATCAAGAAACAATGCCTAGATATATAATTTGCCAGAAAAGATGTCCATGTTGTTAAGAGACAGAAGGGAGGGCTGCCTAAGGGGACATCTGGGCTAAAGGTTCATATGTGGGAAAATATAGATGATGCTTAAAGCCATGAGAATGGATGAGGTTGTCAAAAGAAAGTTAGGGCCACGCCCGAAGAAGAAGAGAAAGCCAGCAACTGGGGTGGAGGAAAAGCTGCTAGTGAATTAGGAGAAAACCCCCAAGAGCTGCAGAAGAAGACGTGGTAATCACATCAGAAATTAAGGAACATGAGGCAGGTCTAGTGTCCATTGGATTTTGCCACATAAAGGTGGTTTAAGTAAAGTGGATTCCACTGAGTGGTAAAGGAAAGCAGCGGGATGCAGTCATGGAAGAGGAGACAAGGAGGTGAGGGTCGAAGGCCACGGGCATGGGCAATCGTTTCAAGGTATGACCTGCAAACAAGGAAATGGGGTGGTGGCCCGAGGGAAGAGAGAACAAGGGGGGACTTTTGCTTAATTGGAAGATGGATGGATTGGCCACATATTCACTCTGTTGGAAGCTGATGCAGGAGAGAAAGGGGAGAGCTGAAGGGAAATGCAAGCTTGCAGGAGGCAGAAGGAGACAGAATTGCAAGCGCACTGGCCTTGGACACACAGGAGGAAATTCAGGACTGCAGGTGAGAAGTGGGCAAAGAGGAATACATGCGCAGACACTCTGCAGATTTAATGGTGGGAGGGTAGGTTTGTAACTCCTCAGCCTGGGAGATTGGAGTTAGAAGAAGGGGTCTCTAGGCATGAGCAGTCGTGCCTACCGTAGAAACAAGACGAGGGTACAGGAGAGTGCTGCCTGCCTGGGTGAGATGTTTGATCATGATGTTAAATGAAATCAGTCTGCTTTTGCTCTGATGTCCTCCTTCAAGGGTCATCCAGCTCCTCTGGGGCAAGGACAGACATGCTGGAAAGGGGGGTTCCACCTTGGGTAGGTATTCGTCACTCGAGTGGAACAGAGGGAGGTGAGGGCAAGGAGTGAAGTGGCTTCAGCAATGGACTATGGGCGCTGGACCAGGCGGAGAGCAGGATATGGGAGAGTGAGGACATGGAGGGAGCAGCTTCTGGGTGTGTTAGTGCATTGCAGAAACACTGCAGTGAAAGTTCTTGAATGAGCGAACAGTGTGTGCGATAGCTAGAAAAGTGAGGAAAGCATTTTACTGGAGGTGGTGTTCATCAGCATGAGTGGCTTGAGGAAAAAAATGGGTTTTAACCTTGGTATCATAAAACATGTTTAATATGTGTGATCATTAATACTCAGTGTCAACTTGGTTGGATTGAAGGATGCAAAGTATTGTTCCTGGGTGTGTCTGCAAGGGTGATGTCAAAGGAGATTAACATTCAAGTCAGTGGACTGGGAGAGGCAGACCCACCCTCGATCTGGATGGACACCATCTGATCAGCTGCCAGTGCAGCTAGGATAAAAGCAGGCAGAGGAACATGGAAGAACCAGGCTGGCTGAGTCTTCCAGCCTACATCTTTCTCTCATGCTGGATGCTTCCTGCCCTTGAACATCAGACTCCAAGTTCTTCCGCTTTTGGACTCTTGGACCTTTGACCACAGACTAAAGGCTGCACTGTCAGCTTTCCTACTTTTGATATTTTGGGACTCTGACTGGCTTCCTTGCTCCTTAGCTTGCAGATGGCCTATTGTGGGACCTCACCTTGTGATTGTGTGAGTTAATTCTCCTTAATAAACTCCCCTTTATATATACATCTATCTTATTAGTTCTGCCCCTCAAGAAAGCCCTGACTAATACAACATATAAAGTAACAGATTTTCTGATACAATTCGTTCTTAGGTGTTGTAAATGAATTCTCAGCTCTGGAGAATATTCATTTTAAATAACTTTAACCTTCCTCCTGCTGCAAACAATGCTGCCCCAAACCCGTATGCTTAGAGAAGAGCTGAACCAGGAGAGAAATAGGTCAGGTGTAGTTATTGCAATGCTTCACCCCCAGAGGCACGTGAAGGGAACTCCACAGGTAGACCTCAAGCCTCCGCTTCAGTTCATTAAAACAAAAGTAGTTTCAAGTCTCACATGGCCTTAAAGTTCTGTGAGCCCATGACTCCCTTGAGTTCCATTTCTCATTTCTGCTTGCGCCTCAGCTGGGGCCTGGTCATGTTCATGTGTTACCTCTCAACAGGCATGGGGCTCTGAGACTGGCTCTCACTGCAGATCTGTCTAAAGCTACTTCTCAGCTACCAAGATACATGAAATGGCCACACTTTTTGCTGTGGTGTTCCTACACTTTCCTGCTATATCCTGCTTCCACAGTAAATTTTTACACTCTAGTTTTTAACCCTTCTCTAAAATAAAGTAAAAATGTTTTACAAAGTAACAGATATTATCATAAACTGGAGATAACAACTGTTAGATTAAGTTTCGACCTTGAAGCGTATAATTTTTTCACCTTAGATGATGAGTATTTTCCCAGGTGACTAACAGTTCCTTGCGAGCATTAGCTATTGGTCACCCAGCATCCCACCTGAAGGCTTCCTGTGATTCACTAGGAGCACATGGGATGCTAATGTTGCACATTTCAGAAGGTCCTGCTCCTGCCCTGGAATTCATCCACTTCCTGCATTGCTGTCTGGCTTGAAAGTGAACGTGCTATGGTGATAAATCTGGCTCAGAATGAAAGACAGATATGTGGTAGAAATGCAGGACAGGCGAAGAAGGAATGGAGTGTGACGAAGGCCGATGAACCTCGCCAGCAGATCAGCCCAATATGGGAGACAACAATTTGGGAAAATCTTACGCATCAGGAACAACCATTAAACCATGAATTATGATCCTTATCAATAAACCCTTAGGATACCATGAGGGCATTCACTCTTTTTTTTTTTTTTTTTTTTTGAGTTGGGGTTTTGCTCTTGTCACCCAGGCTGGAGTGCAATGGCGCGATCTCAGCTCACCGCAAGCTCCGCCTCCCGGGTTCAAGCAATTCTCCTGCCTCAACCTCCCAAGTAGCTGGGATTACAGGCTCCCACCACCACACCCAGCAAAATTTTGTATTTTTAGTAGAGACAGGGTTTCACTATGTTGGCCAGACTGGTCTTAAACTCCTGACCTCAGGTGATCCGCCTGCTTTGGCCTCCCAATGTTCTGGGATTACAAGCGTGAGCCATCACGCCCGGCCTTCTTCTATATTTTGTTCATCCTTCCAAGATATAGCTCAAGATGCATTTTTTTCATAAAACACCCTTCACTAGTTCAGCACAGAATGCAGTATAATTTCTGAACTCCTTAACACATCGCACCATTTCTCCAGTAAAGTTAGCATTTCATAATATTCATGCTTCCTTTCCATTTTATAGACTGTCACACTCAAAGCTTAGAAAGCAGTCAGATCTTTAGTAAGTAGTTGCTAATTACTTTCAGAAATGCATCAGGAATGTTTAAATTCATTAATTTTAGATTTCATCTCTTATACTAGCATGCTAAAAGAAATATCTCACAGGCTCCAATTGACATCACCAATTTTCTGAAATGTCTACAATTTTCCGAAATTCTACAATCAAATAATTCAACTAAAACAGAACAAAAGGCAGGAAAGGGCAGACTCATATTGTGTTTGGTGACCAACTGCTCCCTGAATCTCTCACGTCCATGTCACTGTCCCTTTGTGCTTCCACCCATGCTCCATGGCTGCCCTCCACCAGGTGTGTTCAATGTGTCTAATGAGCATCCAGGTTCCTTGTAGGAAAGATGCAGAGTTTTTCCTCTGCAGAGGCACAGCAAGGAAAATAATGACATTCTGCTAGTGCAGTAAAACACGAGAGGCAATACAAAAACCAGTCAGAGTATTGCCCTGTGTCTATTTCTCCAAGAAAATAACCCCAAGAGTTAACAGATTAAAGCAGAAGACTATTCTCAAAATTCTTAAATACGCTGCATGCCTCTAATTCTTATTAGTTAAAGAGCTAATCTGCAAACTTACGAGATGACCAGTGAATCCTTTTGGGAATTGAAATTGTTCTGCAACATGAAAGCATGACATTCTTGGCAATGCTTAAGAGTAAGGCATTTTTATTTCCATTAATCATAGTTTTAATTCCTGTATACATTCTCTACCAAAAATAAGAGAAAGGTAAATATTTTCACCTTCTCAATCATCATTATTTTTTTAGTCTCCTTTAGTGCAAAGCTCAAGATTCATTCAACACATGTGTTCCCTTAATATGCTGCTTCAATTTAACATTGTGATGTCCTTTGGCAGCAAAACCTTAAGCTTAAAAGAAAACCATTTTCTGCAAATGTCATCTGTCACTTTAAGATCATGATATATATGTACAGAAGTTTTCAGAAGTGCTGCAGGGGACAAAAATGTATATCCAGCAAGCCATTTTTGGATAAATATGTCTTCCTCTTCATTATTACCATCCAGAATTGGTTTAGATGGAAGTATTCTCTAGCTCAGAAAATTCTGCCAAAATTTCAGACGCTAAAGAAACCCTTGATAAGCCCAAAAGAGAACCTGGTGACAAACTAAATTTCACCATATGAACATCAGTGGAGAGCATTTGGTACAGAGTCCCTGGAGTCCCTAAGCACCGCAAGGTGAATGATACAAGGACAAAAGTTTACAGTCAAGGATAACCCTAAAGATCACACTTACAAAAAGCATTGAATAGAGGCTTAAGCAGTAAAACTTGAGACTAAAATACTAGCTAAATGACCTCAGCCATATATTAATAAACTTAGTTTTTATGTACTTTATTAACATGTGCCAATGAGCAAAAATATGCTTTTGTAATTTCTTTCCATGTGTTTCTGGTGTTTTTTTTTTTTTCTGGTTGCTGTGTCTATGAATCATTTTTTTTAAAAAGCTGAAGTTTTAAAGATCTCTGTGCTATTAGCATTTGGATCACACTGGAATTATTTCACAATCTAAAATTAAAAGGAAATATATCCAGCCTGTAAAATATTCTTCTAAGTCACCAGTCTATGTCACTCATCTGAATGTGGTATACCAGGAGAACTGCCTTAATTTTGGCATCTGCACAAAATAATACTTCAACAAGACAAATAACCACATGAGCAAGATATCAAGCTTACTTACAGCACTTGATAAAATGATAGTGAGACATCTTTCCATCTCAGACAGGAATCTTGCTACGGGTTCCAGCATTCTCTTCTGTCACAACTGTCGTTCCCAGGAAATGCATTACTTAAAGCCCTTACTCAGGTAACAGTTTACCTCAGGATGCACTATTGCATGGAGGCTCTGTTCCATGATCCTGCAAAAAGCTTCAAACTCATTCTCATTCGGCAGCTGGAGTTAAGATAAGCCTCTCCCCGGTGGGTCTTGAGGCACCACTGGTGCACGTGCTATTGTAGCACCCTTGATTGACACAGCCCCGAGTACCACAATCCCGGGAATAGTCAGCTCTAATTGGTGTTCACATGCAGCCACATTCTGCTGCACGGAGGTGTGCTGCAGTGCGGCTCTCCCGGTCCTGCCTGTTAATGGCTTTTCAATAGCTTTCAAATGGCAGCAAACTAAGCTGATGAGTGGGCTGGAGAGAAGCCACGGATAGAAGGATCCTAAATCTTCTTCGTGCACACTGTCCATCAGCCACATATGACCAGATTCTTAGCTGGTAGTAAAGCGGATTATTTTTAGTTGCCACCAGTTGCTGTGTGTGAATAGGAAATTGATAGCAGGAGCTTAAAATAGCCACCTCTTAGAATCAGAGATCTTTGATCTGTCCTTAGTAATGAAAAACTTGCATTATATTTCAAAACACATCTTTCTGCTTTTCTGAGCAGAATGTAAAACTTAAATTATCCACAAAAAGCTTTTGGTTTGCATAGCTTTAAAATTTAGGATTCTCCTACCTCTGCAGACTGCAATGAATTTAACTGTACAACCCAACTGGATGAAGTAAATCTGACTGAATTGGAATCAGAAAGAAATATATGGTCTGCTAGGGTTTATTGTTATAAAAGTGAATATCATACTCATAATGAAATAGCCATGGTAGCAAACCAAAAGGTTATATTTTAAGTTGTTTACAAATTCAAAGTGATACATTTTTTTTGCAAATTGATACATTTTTATGATGATCTTCTCCAAAGACAAGTTGACATAGTCTAGAATTTATGTTTCAGGTTTGAGGTTATAGGAAAGGTAAACATGAACAATATGTTAAGTGCACCCATCCTTCTGTGGCAGTAACATAATTTTGTATTCCTTACTGAACAAAACTCAAAGAGCAGTGCTTTTATTAAACTAGAAGATTATGAAATTCAAATCTATACAACAAGGGGTCATGACTATTACATTTTCACTGAATAATATTCTAACACATTTTAGTAGCGTGATGTAAAATAATAAGTTGAAGATTTCGCACAGAACAGCCTGATGTCAAATCCAGCTTCTACCACTTACCAGAGTATCAATGTAAACACATTATTTAACCTGCTAAAGCCTCAGTTTCCTCATCTATGCATGTGAAATATAATTCCTAATCTTTATTCTGAAGGTTAGAAATAATGCACATAAAATTTCTGGTTTCTGTTGTTGGTGTTCATTGAAAAGTTGTCATTAACATTAACAAGGAAAAAAACTTATGTATGTACCAAATGATGATTATGGACGCTTTAACTTGGCTTTTCCAAAAATTAGAATGAGGATTTGCAGCCTTCATCAGGAATGCTGATTCCTCATTTATTCGTTGATTCCACAATTAATTATTGAGAGTCACTGTCACAAAAGTCACCATTTTGGGTGCTTTTCAGGAATAAAATATGTCTAAAACAGAGCCTTTATATACCAGGAATCTATAATGTATTTTTAAAGGGTTTCTTGGATGTTTTGTAATGTTTCAATAAAACTGTAAGACACAACTATATCTGTTTCCAACACGGGAAGTAAAGCTCTCTCCTCTTTAAATCAATACAAATCTTTACATGTGCATAAAATAACTGTGAATTTATGTGAATGTTATCTAATGTATCTTCGGGTAAGGTTGTATCCATGTAGATGTCCCTACCCCCTTCTCTTAATACAATGCCGGATAAATAGTATGTTGCCTATATACCTTCCTTAAATGTCTGAATGTCTTAATTTTCTGCAAATTGCATGCCTCTGCATGTATACAAACTCAGCAAACATCTTAAGACAATTGAGTTTAATGATACCATTCACTCTTTAAACTGAAAAAAAGCATAACACTCAGAGGGGCATGTTGTGCACTTGACAAAGAAAATATGTTATTAAAAATATAATTGATTTGAGCCCTACTTTTTTCAATAACTTAAGGCATTTCTTATAAGAACTTTAACCAAGGTACCCCGTGAGAATTAACATCTCATCTCCAGGGGCTCATTATCAAATGTGTTTATTTTTCATCGACTCATGTATTCCATAAACATTTGGCAACTCTTTGTGCTATAAGAGAAACTTGACTCCCTGACCTCAAAGTGCTTATCGTCAGATGAAATAGAGACAATCAAGATAGCACAGTGTTGTGTGCTAGAAACTGTAAGACTACAAATGTAGACCTCTAAAACAACAAGAGCCAACATCTAATCCACTTTGAGGAGTTGAAGGAGGATACACTGAGAAATGTATTCACAGATTTCTTAAACTACTTAGAATGTGCTTTCTATGTATAAACTGTATCTACATATAATTTCCCCAGATTAAGAAGCCCTTTTATCTTTTTGTCTTTGAAACCACATACTCATGCTCTAAACATTGGTAGAACTATGTTTAAACCTATTTACATATTTCATCACTACAAAACAAAAATTAATTTCTAATGCAGGCATTAATACTGAGGAAAATAATTTTGGTTCCATTAACTTTACTTCCTTCATAAAATTTTTTAAAAATGGTAACTTGAAGTTGATTAAAATTTCCTCCTCTATATCCATCCCTGAGAAACTCAACTCACTGTTGGGTGGTCAGAACAATAATTTCAGGACTCCTTCAATCATATATATATATAATATATAATATATATATTATATACAATATATATTTTTATATATATTATATATAGCTATATATAATATATATAATATACATATATACATAAAATATACATATATACATGTATAATATACATATATATATATACACACACATATATATTTTTCTTTTCTTTTATTTTCTCTTTTGAGATGGAGTTTCTCTCTGTCACCCAGGCTGCAGTGCAATGGCGCGATCTTGGCTCACTGCAACCCTCTGCCTCCCGGTTTCAAGCAATTCTCCTGTTTCAGCCTCCCAAGTAGCTGGAATTACAGGCACCCACTACCATGCCCAGCTAATTTTTGTAGTTTTAGTAGACATGAGATTTCACCATGTTAGTCAGGCTGGTCAGGCTTGACCTCAGGTGAGCCACCTGCCTTGGCTTCCCAAAGTGCTGGGATTACAGGCATGAGCCACCATGCCCGGCTAAATCTTATATTTTAAATATGGTATCAGAGTTGATGACAGTAGCAAGAAATGACCAAGGCTAAATTAAATATATGGTTAGCAATTTATCTATTTTGCAGAATATGGTCATTAAGTACAAAATTAAATCCATGCGTTCGAAAGAGGGTATTGTTTTGCATTTCCAGAAAATTTTCAAACGCATAAAGCACAATTATTTTATTATTTTTCAGTATTATTACAATGAACTATTGTTCTTTCCAAATACGAATGCATAATATTTCAAACTCATTTTTGAATAATCAAGAAACCCCTTTTTCTCTTTTATACACCATACAGCTGCTCATTATTCACACTATTTCTGATATGAACACATGATTTTTTTTCTCTTAAATGTTAGCATTATTATACACCAGATTTTTTCAAATAAGGCTAAATTATTTCCCAGCCAAAAACAAAAAAAGAAACTGCAATGATTCTAATGAGAGATAAGCATTCAAAAGTTAGAAATTGCTTAGTAAATATCTTTTAAAATGGGATACATGAGACACAGCTCCAAAAAGGCCCCAGGTGAGATACTACTTAATGTTTTCATTTAAAACCTATTTGGACAATGTAAAACATGTAGTTTCATAATGCCAGTCTGCTGACAGATAATTCCTAATCTAATAGTGCCTGCATTGACATGCTTTATTAAATGAAGAAATTAAAACTAAAGTTTGCAAACATCACCAATTTGGGAAAGGTACGTATTAACAGTAGGTCATGACAAAAATTCTAAATGAAGATATAAATCACACACAACAGTTTTTTGTTATGCAAATTTAAGCTCTGTGATGGGGCATCATTGCCTCTGCCCTGTGAATAGGTTGGGGCTTATAAATATTAGCCTTTGATGAAGTAAATTACACACATTTAGAGACCTTGAGCCACAGGTGTCTCACACACAATGGCTGACAGCTAAATTTATAATTTCCTCTATCACAAATATTGACTGCTTCTGGGTGAATGGAGTCAAGACCTCTCCTGGGAACATAACTCCGGTCTAATAACTTAGGGTCCTTTGAGGCTGAAGCCTACAGAGGAGAAAATATCTGAGTTGTCAAAAAATAAGGCATAAATACACTCAGCTCTTGCTATAGAATCAGCCTCTGGTCAACCCCTGGTGCCTCAGGACCAGGATCAAGCCTACCTTGAATGACTGAACATCCTTGACTCTCTCATAAAGTCCCTGATCTCAGTCTAGTGACTGTGGAGGTTGTTCCTGATTTTGGCCTGCCTGTGAAACCACTAGCTCTCGGATTCAGGACTCCACAGGGCTGTGTGTTCACTTCAGCTTCACGTAGTCTCACATTTCTCCAACCAGAACAAACGGACATTCAAGTTAGATGTGGGCAATTGTGAAGTAAATGAGAAGAAATTTACAATACAGACTTGCACAGTTGGAAAGAAGTAGGGGTTAATAGGAACTGCCCTCTCCATGTCAGAGGGCAGTGAGGGCTAACCCAGCTGAGCCCTGCTTTAGTGACTAAAAGTGAATTTGTCATATAACGGCTAGAAAATATCCCTGGTTATTCAAATACTTTCATAGAGTACTGATGTAGAAAAGAAATGCAATTTTAAAAACTGCTTCAAAAAGACTGAAAATTACTCTCTGTAATACAATATAGATTAATATAATAGCAAATACATGCATGTGCATTGATATGGATATATGAAGATACACACACACACACACACACACACACACACACACACACACACTCAGGCTATATGGGATGTTCTAATTGCTCCTTAAGGGCATTTGGCCACCCACTTCCTTTGGTGATTTTTTTCCCTAATCAAAATGAAATGTTTTAAATTCTAGTGAGGACCAGTTAAACTGGGTATCTAAAGCAGGACATTTGTAAAGCATTTGTAAGGTTTTTCACTTGAATCCGAACAACCACTTTGAAATCTTTCCAGCATATGCGTTACAACTATCTAGGAAGACTTTTCCATTTCAGGTGTTTGACCTTGGACAAAAGTTTGCATATCTTAATGGTGAATAAGAAACAGACCGTTTTGTTTTATGTCTGTATGACTCTACCTAGGTTTATGTGCACATGTGTGATATGGATGAATATGAGCACATGAATAATTAAGTATTCTTTGCCTTGTTCTTCAATCAGTTTGAGGGAATAAATAGTATACTGCAACCAGTTACCAGGAATAGGCAGATAAAAAAAAATTTATTGATGACGAAGCAAGTTTAGCGATTACTGTTGGCCTAAATAAGACAGCTGGGACACCAGGCTGAAATGTTTGAACAGATCTCTATACATTTGTCATTTAGAAGACAATATCTGAAAGTTTTTTGATGATCTAAAAGATATTCTTAATTTTCCCAAAAAGGATGAAAGGAATTGTGAGGCAATTAAATAAGAAGCCTCTCCTTCATACTTTTCCCATTGATATACATGGATTTTTTAAACAAAATATGCCTCTTTAGTTGAATCATGCTCTTATTTACAATTTAATCACACTAAGTTACCTATTCAAATTCCATGCATTCTTCAAATTTACTTCAAGCCCATTTAATCTACAAACTGTTCTTGATTTTTTTATTGCTTAAATTATTCCTGACCTTCTCTAAAGCTTATATTCATTTTTTTCATGTACCAGTCAATCCAGCATTTATAATGCAATGCTTTGCATTTTTCTTAACTAGTTATCATAGGGAAGGCTCTTCCTAGGTAGGTAACTCGTTATTTGAGTCTCAGACCTTCTACTTTTCCTATTTCCTATGAAGTCCAAAACATTAGTGAACATTCAGAGATCAACAAAGGGAGAGCCAGAGAATTAGAATTGCTCTAAAGCATTTTCTGGTGCATGACATATAATGTCTTGAGGAATATTTTATTAAAGGCAGGATTATTGAACACTTAAGTAAACATAACTTACCATACATGACAGGAGAAGAAGAAAGAAATGAAGTGGAGTATAGCCCCTTCTTCATTCAAGCATGTAGGTACAAGTAGACTGAGTGTATATTGTTTTTCAATATCCCCCATGAAGGCGCCATTAAAACGGATCATAGGGAGATCTGGCTGCAAGTTTGACTTTCTTCTTCTAAATGAATTCCCTTGTTGCTAATTTTCTTTGAGTGACAATGGATACAATATAGTCACTAGAGAGGTTCCCAAAATTTAACAATATTTTAAGGTGTTCTAGAAAAAGAATGTACACTGAAATATCCAAATTCACAAATGACATTAAATTATTTCTCCAAACTGAAGTCTCAGGCCTTTTGGATAAGTTTAAGTAGCCCTCATTGTTACGATATTGTTCTCCATAAATATTTTCTCCTATCTGCACAGTTTGGGCTGTCAGAGGAAAGAGCATTGGCAGCCTTGGTTAAATGGTGATTACATAAAAGCATACCTTGGAAGCTGGACGTCGTGTGTGTAGCTCTGAAGCAATTTGGAGAATTACCTCCCAGGCCCATGGGCTTATATTTCAGGGTGATAAGCCTGGAGACTTTCTCTTTTCTTCTCCAAGAGAAAATTTGTTTCCTTTTCTCTCTCTCACTCTTTCTCTCAAATGGGCATATGTGCAGCTTATAAAAGCTTAGAGTCCTTGAACTCTTTGGTTCCTCTCCTGTGTTACAATTCCACTGCCCTTGCAGGATGATATCAGGCTTTCCGTCCATTGCTTTTTGAATAGTGGGGCTTTGGAAACCAGTGCCAGGATGCTCTGTGAGTGTGGTCCGTGCTCTGATCCATGTCTCTGATTCATGATCCACGACTTCATGTTTCCCATCAGAATCTCTCTTAGCCTATTTTGGCCTCTCCTCTTACCTCCTCTTCCTCTCGTCCATCCCCCACCATCCCTCTCTTTTCCATCCCCCACCAACATCTGCCTTCCCCCCTCCTCCTTTTCTCTTCCTCCTCTCCCTGTCTCTCTCTCCATACTTCACACTCCCATAAATAACTGGAAGGACTTCTCAGAGTAAAGCAACAGACACAGATAAATTCTGGCCACAGTGCATGAGGCTAATGAAACCGTAGAAGACTGGGACATCCTTTCCCTGACCAAGGCTCCTCTAGTGGGTTGTCCCTCCTTACTTCTATTTCAGTAAACTTCCTTGGATATGAATCCTGTATCTGTCACTCCCTAAAGGTCAGGTCACCTGGTTGAGGTTCAAATTCCTGTGATAAGAAATGGCAGCTGTAATGCCAAGCGCCCAGGGTTCTTCTGTACAAGCTAGGTGCTCAACAAGTACAATTCCAACCATCACGATGTGACTATTTCACACACCCCTGATGTTGTATTGATCTAATGCTATCTTTATATTCATGAAAATATTTATTATGTGATTTGCCTTGAAGACATCACTGCCTTTCCTAGAGTCTTGCAGGTATCAATGACTAGTAGAAACCCCTTCACAGTAATTATGCCATGTTTACCCATGAACCAGGTACTAAACAAGTAAACTTTATACAGTATCCTCCCAATCTGTGGGGGACACTTTCCAAGATCCCCAGTGGATGCCTGAAACCACAGATAATATGGAGCCCTATATACACTGTTTTTTTTTCTATACATTTCTATACTATTCCTATGATAAAGTTTAGTTTATAAATTAGGCACAGTCTAATTTAGAGATTAAGAGCAACAATGATAAAACAGGACAATTATAGCAAAATACTATAATAAAAGTTAGGTGAATGTGCTGTCTCTCATTGTCTCTCTCTCACAATATCTTACTGTACTGTACTCACTCTTCTTCTTGTGATGATGTGAGATGATAAAATGCCTACTGATGCCTGATGTGAGGGGAATGACGTAGGCATTGGTATGGAGCAGGCTACTATTGACCTAACACCGCAGCCAAGAGAGGATCATCTGCTTCAGATGGCCCAGGATCACTGAGCCACGACAATGTCGATGACTGGATGTCAGGAGTAGACGACGTGGATGATTAACGAGCAGGAAGCATGTAGTGCTTATACAATGGACAAAAGGATGATTCATGTCCAGAAAGAAATGAAGCTGGATGGCATGAGACTTCATCATGTTACTCCATGCATGGAACAGCATGCAATTTAAAATTAATGAATTTCTAGAAATAGAATACAAATATTAAATGGAAATTTCTAGATATTTCCATTTAATATTTCAGACTGCAGTTGGCGGTGGTTAACTGAAACTGCAGAGAGCAAAACGGCAAATAAGTGGGGGGACTACCATAGAATTCTATCAGCCCTGGAAGTCTTTGTTGAGCACTCAACATGCAACAGTCATGAATCAGACCTAGACCCTACCCTGTGGAGCTTACAAAGATTATACACTGGGAAACAGAATTACAGAGACTACACTAGAAAATGCATGGCATTATGGAGCAGGCACCCGAAGCTTGAGGGTTTGCAGTGTGTTTCTGAAGATGTGGTGCCTAGCACACACCAGAGGATGAGTAGGAAGAGATTAGGCAAAGCAGGTGGGCAGAAGAGAGGTGTGTGGTATCTTCATGACATGTTCAAGAAATAAACAGAAATGTTTGGCAAGGCTAAAGGATAGTACCTGGCACAGCCAGCTGAGGGGTGAGTTAGAGAGGTAAGTAGAGGCCAGGCTGCGGGGTGGGGATGGGAGGCTCTGTTCCTTCTCATGAGTCATATAGAGACAAGGAAGCTTTTAATGCAGAGGAGTGGGATGTTTAGATCTGAAATGCATAAATATCATAGGAAATTATTGGAGCAGGAGAAATAAAGAGGATAGTGTGTTTGGGAAGTGGAGGCCACTCAAGGCCCCCAAGGGCGAGGAACTGGGGACAGAGCAGAGGCAGTGACAAGTGGGAAGTGGACAGCACATCCCATCATCGACCAAAAGGTGAGTCCTCCTCTTCCTGTCTTGAAATCTCCATCCCTATCTCTGCTTCCTTCTTTCCACAGTTTCCTCATAAAGGCGGACTTGATCTGACCCAATGAAATATTTCCTTAATTTATCTAATGTTGCCAATACTGGAAACCTCTCATCCCTAGAAGCCCAAAATCCAGAAGTTCCACCCACAGACTTTGCATCAAGAGAATGAGTCTGGGATGCCTGAAAACAGTAACATGAATGCATGCTCTTAGTACGGTTCATCCCTGCTTCCTCTCTTCTTCAGTGTGGCTTCAACATCAAACATCAGAGCAGCCCTAAAACTCAGGTAGTCAAAAAATAAATACGTTAGTGTTATTCCCTTTAGCATTTCCAGAATAAATATTCAGATTTATTATTCAAAAAGTAAGAAAGTTATAAATAAGCTTCTAAGTGAATATTTCTAGGAAATGACCTCCATTTTTTAAGGCTTCAACTTATATAGCAAACAATTAAAAAGTGCTTATTATGTGGTAAGCATTATTCTAATATCTTCATAGGCATCGATTCATTTAAGAATCAGAACAATGTAGTGGGTACTAATACTTTTTTAACAGATGAGGAAATTGAGGCACAAAGACTAAGCAAGATGTCCAAGATCATTCAGCCATAAAGGAGCATGACTCTGTTGACCAAGTCATTCAGGCTACAGAGTCCACCATACCTTTCATCATGGGGCAATACCCCTCCTGCTAGGTGGTTTAGGCTTAGGTTTCCAGTATGCCATTTGCCTTCAACTCCTAGCACAGGCCTTTCTTCTGTCTGTCACATTTTTTCTACCTTCCTCACCGCGCATCGTCCCTTGCCTGATGAACTTCAACCCTACATGTTGGTGTTGTGTATATAGGGAGAGAGAGGGAGAGGGGAGGACACACATAGGAGAGACATCTGGAGAGGAGAAGGTGGAGAAGGGAAGGGGTTGTGTAAAATGAGTAGAAAATAAGTGTTCAAGGGTCACAGCGGGCAAACTGCCTCCCGATCAGTCCCTTCCCCTTTCTTCTTGGCCAGGTTAGCTGCACTGATGTATCGCTGTGATACCTCCTGATGCTACATCCTATTACTGCTAATTTACATCCTGCGTGGGCTTTCTCTCAAAATGCTGACATGATGCTGCTACATTGATGTTTACTTTTACACCCTCGAGTATCTATCAAGGCAGACATTTCAACATACAGACCCAGTCAACCAAAAGTGTCAAGAGAAGGAAAGTGTCAAGAAAAGATACAGATCGGAAGTAAGATTTTATCAAGGGAAGAGGTATATATGTTTATATTTGAAATTTAAGAGTATAGCAGGGAACCGAATTTTAGAGTCTCGTGAAGTAGCTAAGCTGTAGCAAATTTAGTAGACATTTAATAATTTTTTAACATATCATGAATACTGGCAATTACATCTAAGGTGCTAATATGATAAGAATTATCTCCAGACCACAGAAGATATTGATATACATCTCTAAAGCCAAATATGTAAGTGTTAGTTGAGTGGATTAAGGTAAGTTGTAGTGCGATGGTTGTGGAGAAGTATCACCAAAATAAAAGTCTTACATGAATCTGATGGGGGATATTTTGAGAGTGTCAAATTTATGACTCTGTTTATTTACATAAAATCCAAAAACAGGAAAAAATTATGATAATAGAAATCAGGCAAATGGGCTATTGATAGGAAAAGGGCTCTAGGGAACTTTCTAGAACAAATGGAAATGTTTCATATTTTGATCTCGTGGTGGTTGCACACGTATAAATATAGAGAGATACATTAAGATTGGTTGAATTGTACATGTAGTATATATGTGTTTTACTGCATGCAAATTATAATCTATTGTTTAAGTGTTGTAAATAGTGACAGAGTTCCTAACATAGCAGCAACAGACACAGTGAGAAAAGGATTTCTAAGGGTGTAAAACTAAGGTAACTCAGAAGCATTGGTTCATTCTACATTCACTCATTCAACAACTATTGACTGACAGGCTACTGTACTTTTGCATATGGATACAAATAAGGGGCAGTCACTGCCCTTAAAGTGATTTCCCAGCACAGCAAATCAGCCACTATAACACAGTGTGGAAAATGCAAACGTAAGCTTAGACAAAGCAAGATGGAGGCATGGAAGAGGTGGTGGCTGGCCCAGGCAATGGCTCCTTCATACCATATACAATGTCCTCTGTGAGGTGCTCCTGTCTGTCTCTACAGGCTCAACTCTAGCAGCTTCTCATCTGCAATGCAAATGTTCTAGGACAGCCACTGCCACCACAGTCTTAATGCACAATGCCTTGCAGGAGGTGTCTCCTGCTGGGAAGTCTTTTCTCCTCTTTTTTGCAGGTGCTCTTCTGTCCTGAATTACATGCATCTCTTCCATAGAATCTTGGGAGAGAGTCTGTAGTTACTCAAAGGGATCCCTGACCTGAAAAATGAAGACCACTCTTGCAGCAGATGGGGAGTGGATAGCAGATTTTTAACAGAGGAGTTAAATCGTGATGCTCTGTGAAGAACAGATTTGAGGGAGACAAGATGGACAGCAAGGAAACTTATTTAAAAAGCTCCTATAATAGTCCAGGGGAGAGAGCATGAGGGCTTGAAATTGAGTCATGGTAGTGAAGACAGAGCAGACTGGGTAAATTCTCAGGAAGCAATAGCTTGAAGACTGGCAGGATTGGGAAGTGAGAGAGAAGACCAGCTTTCTAGGTGCTTGGGTGTTTGGTGAGGCCATCTGCCTATCTGGTGAGGGAAAGGAGAGTGGAGGAAGAAGAAGCAGAGTGGAAAAGGAAGGGGATGGTGTAAGGGAAAGACAATCGATTATCTGGGTATGATATATCTAGGAAACATCAATAGAATAAATAAGTACATCTATTGGGTACTCAGTAAGTCTTGTCCTTGGCTCCCTGTAAAACCATCCCTTGTTATGTGTGCAGGGCTTCTGCTATGCACAGCGTTTGCTGGTATTAGAGAAAACACAAGATGGACTGAACATGGATCCTAGTCTCTATTTATTTCTTCTTTATTTTCCTTTAGTAATTTTGTTTATGGAGACTGTACTATCAGGCAGGCACTAGGCCCTGAGAGACAACCATGGCACAGATGAAAGCCCGTACCTGTGAAGAGCTTACCATTTCAATGACATTATTTAGGCATTTACAACAACAGGTTGTTCAGTGCTATAGTGAGGAGGAGTAAAACTACTCAGGTATACACAGAAAAGCCTCTGCCCAACTGCTAGGGATCAAATAAGATTGGCTGAAATGAGCTATCATAGCTGAAATCTGCAGAATGCATAGAAGGAATGAGGGAATGAGGGCGTATGAAAGAGTGATGCAGTCCTGTGGTTTTAACCGTGGCCCCTGGACCAGCAGCAGCATCCCCAGAGAACTTGTTTGAAATGCAGATTCTGTGCTCCCATCAAACAGGGCTGCATCCAAATCTCTGGGGTGGGTCCAGCGCTCTTGGGGATCTCACAGGCCCTCCAGATGGCTCTCTGCTAAACACTAAGTCTGAGAATCACTGCTCTAGGAAAACAAAAACCTGAAGAAAATGGCACACTCGGTGGCAAGAAAGAATGGAAAACAGCTTCCTTTTGTGTAAATGAAGATGTTCAGGGATGGCTGGAGTCTGGAGTTAAGGATGAGCAAACAGATGAGAGAGGACACTGAGATGGAATCAGAGATCAGGTCACAAAATGGTTTGGAGCAATTTGAACTTTATCTTGGGGATACTGGGGAAGGAGCCATTCGCAGGTTTCAAGCCCCAGAATGAAAGGAAATTTCAAGCAGATCACTTTTGTTACAGTGTGGACAATGTACACAATACTTTATCTTTCCTCTGACCTTTTCCTCTTTTCATATTCAATTAAGACGTAGGGAGATAAATGAATAGGTCCTAACAATTCCTTTCTTTCTACACTTTTGTACTGCTTTGACTTACTGATGGATTCTAACAACCTTCTTAAAACAATAAGTAGTTTCTAAAATACTGCAACATTTAATGCACTTAGAGCAGTAAGGAAGGAATTCAAATTCCAGACCAAGAATGCCTTAATTCCCTAGGAGCACATTTCAAGGGCACAGAGAGAAATCTTCAGCTTAATTCACCGGCAGCGTGGTTTATACACGAACAAGGGAAAAAGGATTACTGCCCATGGTTCAGTTCCCAAGTCATCATCATATGACCCATCACTAAACGGCCGAGGAAGAGCTAAAAGAGAATATGGAGTTGATACCATCCACAGTTCTCTCGATGATTTCAAGCATAGACTACGATGGTGAAGGAATTCGAATCCCCAGGAAAACCGGGGATTGCGCTTACTCAGAACATTGCATTTCGCTCTGAAAGAGTCTTAACTTGTTTTGTACTTAGGCACAAAATACAAAGAAAGTGAACATGTTTTCTCCTTAATGTCTACTGTATATACATTTTTACTTGAAAATGCTACTCTTCAAATATTCAATTTAAAAACTAGTTATAGAAAGACTAGTGTGTACAAAATGTTTTCATAAAAGTTGACTTGGATAAGATAATGAAGAAAAATGCATGTGTCCCACTCTCAAGTAACTTATAGTTTCCTGGAGGAAGGAGGGCACTTGTGAAAATCATCAGCCACATGTAAACATAAGTGTTTATGCCAAATCAAAGTGTTTATGCAGTGCCATGGGAGCAGTGAAGACAGAGTGATGTGTTCTACTTCAGGATATAAGGGACTGCATTTGTGCAGAGAAAGGAAGGTGGGTAAGAAAATTCACAATACAGAATGGTATAAACAGGTCAGGAAAGAAAAATATGCGTATTTCACTTTTATACTAATGGATTGTTTAGTATGGAGGTAGACAGTTGTAGATGAGCTAGTTTGGAAACAAAACCCAGAACAATCTGAAGGCCTCTGGAAATCATTAATCTGCTTTCTGTTTCTGGGATTTACCAATTCTGGACATTTCGTACAAATGAGGTTATACCATATGTGGCCTTTTGTGTCTAACTTTTTTCACTTAGCATATTTTCATGGTTTATATATCTGACAGCATGGATCAATATGTCCTTCCTTTTTATATTGAATAATACTCAATTGCAATGGGTATACCACATTTTGTTTGTTTCTTTCAGTAGATGGACACTTAGGTTGTTTCTAGCTCTTTTGCTATTGTGAAGAATGCTATGAATATTCATTCATGTTCAGGTTTTTGTGTGGACATATGTTTTCAGTTCTCCTGGGTCTATACATAGGAGTAGAATTCTGGATCACGTGATAACACTACATTAAAAATTTCGCAGAACTGCCAAATTTTTCCAAAGAGGGCATACTATTTTACAATTCTACTACCAGTGTATTAGGGTTTCAATTTCTTCATATCCTTGTCAGCACTTGTTATTGTCTGATTGACGTTTTATTTTAGCCAGTTATGGGTATGAAGTTTATCTCATTGTAGGTTTGATTTGCATTTTCTTAATTACTAATGATTTGGATCATCTTTTTCTCTCCTTATTGATCAATTGTTTATGTTGTTTGGAAACATATGATTCACGTCCTTTACCCTTTATTATTGGGTTGTCTTTTTATTGTTATATTGCAAGAGTCACTTTAAATATTTTAGAAAAAAGTCCTATATCAGATATAAAATTTTTGAATGTTTTCTCCCATTCTATGTGTTGTGTTTTCACTGCTCTGATGATGACCTATAAAACATAATAATTATCAATTTTAATGTAGCTCAAATTACCATTTTTGTCACTGTGATTTTGGCATGATATCTAAGAAACCATTGCCTAATCCAAGGTCACAAAAATTTACTCCTGTGTTTTAAGAATTTAAAAACTGTAGCCACTGCATTTAGTTCCATGGTCTATTTTTTTGTTAATTTGTGTATATGGTATGAAGTATGGGTCCAAGTTCATTCTTTTGCATATGGATATTCCGTTGTTTCAGCAACATTTGTTGAATAGACTCTTCCCATAGAATAGTCTTGGCACTGTTGTCAAAATTGATTGATCATAAATATAAGTGTTTATTTCTGGACTCTTAATTATATCTCATTGATTTATATATCCAGCCTTATGCCAGTATCACATTGTTTTGATTATTTTGTAGCTTTGTAGTAATTTTGTAATTGGGATATGTCAGTCTTATAATTTTGTTTTCATTTTAAAGATAGTTTTTAGTTATCTGGATATCTTGCATTTATGTGTTAATTCTAAGGTCAGATTGTCAATTTCTGCAAAAAGTCCAGCTATAGTTTTAATAGGGATTGCATTTTATCTGTAGGCCACTTTGGGGGAGCATTGCCATCTTTCCAATATAATGTCTTTCAATCCATGGAAAAGAATGCCTTTCCCTTTGAGGGCTTCTTTAATTTCTCTCAACAATAGTTCATAGTTTTAAATGTACAAATCATGCACTTGTTCTGTTAATTTATCCCTAAGCACTTTGTTCTTTTTGATGCTATTTGTATTTAGAATTGTTTTTGTAAGTTCATTTTTAAGTTGTTCATTGCTGGTTTGTAGAAACACAATGGATTTTTGTTTGTGGATATTGTATCCTGTAAACATTCAGAACTCATTTATTGGTTCTACATTTTATATGGATTTCTTACAATTTTCTATATGCAAGATCATGTTGTCTAAGAATAGATAATTTTGCTTCTCATTTTTTAATCTGAATTACTTTTATTTCATTTTGTTATGTAAGTGCCCTGGCTAGAACATTCAGTACATTATGGAATTGAAGTGTTGAGAGCAGAGAGTATTGTCTTGTTCCTCATCTTAGGAATAAACTTCTATTAGGTTCAGGAAGCATCTTTCTGTTTCTCATTTACTGAGTGTTTTTATCATAAAAGGGAGTTATATTTTGTCAAGTGATTTTTCTGAGTCTACTGTGACGATCATTTGGCTTTTGTGTTACTTTACCTATTAATTTGTCTTTTGTAATACTTTGCCTGTTAATATGATATATTATATTCAGTGATTTTCATGTCTTGGACCAACCTGATACTCCTGGGATAAGTCCAACTTGGTCATAGTGAATAAATCTTTCTATATGTTTCTGCATAGGGTTTGCTAGCATTTTGTTGAATACTTTGCTTTTTATATTCATAAGGGACTTTTGTCTGGAGTTTCTATGGAATGTCTTTGGTTTGGGGATAAGGGCATTCTGGCTGCATAGAGTGATTGGGAAGTGTTCCTTCTTCATCTATTATGACACTAAGTTTTGAAGGTGGCTTCTTACACATAAAAGGATAACTTCCATGAACATAACCAGGAGGGCATGTTACCTAACTAGATATCAAGAAATAAAAAGAGGAGACAAGTAAAGATAAATTTTAGAATGTCTTCAGCATATCCAGAATTGAGGACACATTTAGACACAATCAGTCATTTACATATTTCCAATGTTTTTACAGGCAGACAGAATGTCAAATCCAGAAAGATTATGTAGATTTCCCAGACACACAAATGAGCCCTACCATATTCAGAAAATGCTGAAATCAATTCTTTTTTATATTTTAATCAAATTTAATTAAACTTTAGCCCTCTTAAGACAACGTGCCCAATTTGTTTTCTTGACCTTAAAGTGTTGCCATAATCAATCCCATCTTTCCAAGCCATAAACTTTATTTTACAAGTACACTTAGCTTTACTTTTTGTCTCTCTCATCTCAGCTCCACTCCCTAAACACTATATCGTCTTCAAACATGAAGTGCTATTTCTTGTTTCAGAGTCTTTGTGTTGGAATAACCCCTTCTTCTTAACCTGGCTACATCTCCCCGAGTTGCATACTGGTTTAATTTCAAGACCTAGTTCTTGAAATAATTTTCTTGGTTTATTTTCTCATTTAGCAGGGAAGGCAGGCTCTATTAACAGGGTAGCAAGAATGTAAACTAGGTATCACTCTTGAAGAGTTACCTTTCTCACGGTCTGAAAGGAGGTAATGGGAATGGGTTGTCAAAAGTCAGAGCCTACCCCTCCCAACCCCACCCTGATAGATGGTGCCCCTTCCTCTGAGCCTCCCTTTGTGTAGTGCAGGGACTATCTCAGCACCTGTCACTTTATAGTCCATTTATTTATTTCCTCGAGTGTTTCCTGTGAACTCCATTTGGGCAAGGACCATGTCTTGTTTGACATTTTAACCCAGTCAGAGTACTTGGCACATGTTAAATGTTAAATCAATAAACAGTTAGTGATTTAGTATTTTTAAACCTGAAGGCATTTCTGTCAAGACTGTGCAGACAGTAGCTGGATTTGTCTTATTAGTGTCTACCACCTAAGCATCCTGTCTCCTGTAGAATCTTATATTTTCTTAAAATGATTAGCTTTGGTAAAACTTTGATTCAATGATATTATTACTTTTTTTCTAGTATTAGCATCTTGTCTCTCTTTTTCCTTTTTCCTTGTTAAGGATTCCTTTCCTTAAGCATTCACTAACTCATTAAGCAGGCAACATGCAAGACACAGGACTGTAAAGGCACATATGTTACAGTGTATGTCCAGAGGAGCTGCAGAAGAGTCAACTAAATGGGCAAATAAAATGTTCATATCTTATCCATAAAGTAAAGCCAACAAGCGATTCAAGTCTCTACAAATATGCACATGCATGCATATATATGTGAAGAAAGTAAAGAGTCTACTTTATCAGAATATTACCTGCCTTCCAGCCTGGGCGACAGAGCGAGACTCCGTCTCAAAAAAAAAAAAAAAAAAAAAGAAAAAAAAAAAAAGAATATTACCTGCCTTCTATCTAGCTCATCTCAATACACAACTGGAACACAAGCATTTTGCAGAAATAAGTTGTTTCTGTTTCATGCTCCTTGCCTATTTTTAAAAATAAGTATTATGCCTAAATCCAACAGTTTAGAGCCATAGCTTCAATTCCATTTTTTTTTTCAATTTACAAGTTGGAGGAGCACAGTACCCTAGCTTATCTTCTCTGAGTCTCAACTTGCTTACCTACCCTGGGTCAGAAGACCATTAAACTGGACTACTGTGGGACTGTGTAGAGGGCAGAAGTTCAAATGGAATATCTGAGCCCATGATATGACAGATGTGACTTATCTTTTTAGTAATCACTAATTACTAACTCTATTTATGGACAAGAACCAACATTATTTATTCTGGTTTTATATTCATCAAATGGTCTTTAAAAAGCTTTCCTCATATGTGAATCTCTAAAGACTGTAGTGTTCAAATTTTATAAGGCTCTTGGTGAGGCAGATGGTAAAACATAAAAGTTGTTCTGATTTGAAATTGAATTGAATCCAATACTGGCTACATGTTATTTTTCTAGTAGTTCCAAATTAATTCCTTTTTCATTTGTTTCAGTGTGACTTCCAATTTAGAACTTTTTAAAATGATTAATTTGATTCATTTTTTAAGGTCCTTTTTTTCTCTTTTTATTGTGATGTAACACAACTGAAAACAATAGAGCAGATCCACCACCCAGGTCTTTAAAACTAAAAGGCTGTAAGATCTTACTATGCCATTGTCTCTTTATATTTTATGTTGATTTACTCTTATTTATGGAAAGCTAAATTACGTGGACTCAAATCTTTGAAGTGATACCTCACCTCTTTCAAATTTAGGCAGAATACACATCATTTTCAAAATGATATATGTGATACCTAATGGATATCTTTAATTTTTAAAGTTCATATAAGAATTCATCATTCAAATCATGATGGCTTTTGCACCCACTGAAGACTTTCCTGTCATCTCTTTTATTACTATGAGTCAACTTAATTTTTTACTGAAGCATCTGGAAATGAACTTCCGGTAGACTTATCTATCCAGAGGAAAAAGAGCACTAACACAGACAAGCTGAAAGTAAAGGCAAAAGCTCCTTTTTTTTCTTTTCAACCATTCTGCAATTCTATCTACTTGTTTCTCTCAGCTCTCCTCCTCTCTTCTGCCTCAAGGTCACCTCTTCCTTGTCAAGATAGCTCTTGGCCATTTGCTTATCAGAGTCTCTGCCAGATCCAGCAATACTGCAGCCAAGAATAAAGCAAATATAAGAAGGAGGATTTACTATAAATGGCAGCGTGAATGTGGCTGAACTTAAAATGCTTGTATAACTTCGACATCGCACGCTTCCATCAGCACCTATGCATGCAATTTGAAATGATTTTAGAGTAGCACTGTGCTCTATGCTTCTTCATAAACAAGGGCAGGGGCCTTGTCTTTCTATTTCTCCAGATGAACCAACACACAGGAGGATTTCAACAATAAGAGAAGAGTACTTTTGCCCACAAAGCGCTCCAGGTCCCAAATATTTTGAAGTACAGTACAAGAAAAAATGTCTAGTGCAGCGTAATCATTAAAAAAGAGCCCAAGAGAGGAAATGGCTGAGGCAGGCAAATATTAGTAAACTTAATCAATTTCATGGAAAGGCATCGACGGAGCACACACAGTACATTCTGACTATGTGTGTGCTGGTCCAGTCCCTGTGTTAGTCCTTATGTGCACTCTCTCCTTTAATCCTTGCCACCTCCTCATCCTACAAACTCTGTACTACTGTTAGTCCATTTTACAGATGGACAAACAATGTCTAGAGAGGGGATTGTCAAGGTTGAAGAAAGAGTAAGCCTGGATACCCGTTTCAGGTGTAACACTCAGTCAGTCCCAGAGCTTCACATGAACTTTATTCTGTTTGTTCCTAAATAATTTCCTGTTTCTCTTATATACTTTATGAAATTGTCAGGACGGTCTGACAATTTCCTTTTGGGCCCAGTGTTTTCCTCCCCAGCACTCTTTCAAGTGTCCATGATTCATCCTTTCAGATGACTGTAGTGGTGTTCCTTCTAGCCAATCTCTTTATGCAGGGCCATTCCATGAGGCTTTTACTCAAATAACTATCGTTTTAGAATGTCTATCTACAGTCTTAACATTATTCTACAAATGGTAGGGCCATCATGACCTATATTAAAAACAGAAAGGATTAGTGTCGGATTCAGTTCAGATAAATAAATAAATAAATCTCTGTATAAAATTCACTTTTATTTTATTTTTAAAATTTTTTAAATTGAAGACAAAGAAGCAGAAATGAAATTTCCACGCTATCAAATGCGGCTGAATCTTGGCTTCTGCTGTGCTCATGTTGCTGAAGTCCTTCTCTGATCTCCCTCTAGTGTCTTTTGTTCAGTACTACATTTACTCATCAGCTTAATGACTTCAAAATTGTTCCTTCATTCATTCACTTGGCTGATAGCATTGAGCACCTGTTTGGGGCCAGGCACCTCGCTGGTGTATGTGCCGTGAGCAGAACAGACCTGGGCCCTGCCCTCATGGGATTCACAGTCTAGAGAAAGGCTAAGCGTTAAGGAACCGTGGTGGCCCAGAGCACTCCCACTGTCTTCCCTTTTTCCGAAGCCCCCTTTGTCTTTGCACCCATTTCTAGCCCTTTCTCCCCAGTGCAAAGCCTGCAGCCCCAGCTGTGTGTGATACAGAATAAGAAGAAGGGCTGGGCAGATCAAGGAGAAAGCACAGGAGAAGGCCATGAGAAGAATGAGGAGGAAACTTCCAGGGACTCCATCGTTTCCTGGGCTGGCCTGCAGACAGGCTTGAGTTGTCGGCCAGTGAGAGGAGCTGAACCTGCCTATGGAAAATAAGGCAGTGAGGAAGAGAGATTGTGAAGAGTGTTGCTGGGGTCACCATTGAGTACCTTTCAATGTCCTTCAAAAAATAAAGATTAAAAAATTTTTTTACATTGATTTTGGTTACAAGGATTTACTTTCAAAAATCTCATCGTGGGGTAGCTCACACCTATAATCCCTGCACTTTGGGAGGCTGAGGCAGGTGGATCCCCTGAGGTCGGGTGTTTGGGACCAACCTGGCCAACATGGTGAAACCCTGTCTTTACTAAAAACACAAAAAATTAGCTGGGCATGGTGGTGCATGCCTGTAATTCTAGCTATTCGGGAGGCCAAGGCAGGAGAATCACTTTAACCCTGGAGGCGGAGGTTGCAGTGAGCTGAGATCGTGCCACCACACTCTAGCCTGGGTGACAGAGCAGGACTGTCTCAAAAAAAAAATCATTTGTGGGTAAGTGGGTTCAGATATTTGTTTCTGCACTGATATATATGTATTTATGTATGTGTATATGTATGCGTGTGTGTATTTATTATGTTTAACATACATATAGCAATTGTGAAAAATACCATGAAAGTCAGGAATAGGTTAAGATGAAAGAGAAGAACAGGAATGGTGTAATTTAGCTGTGGGGTGCAAGGAAGGGTTCTGGCTAGGTCCGATGAGAAAGCTTTAAGACAAGGTGTGCATGATGAATCAGCATTAGTTGGGGAAGGCTCCTAGGCAGAGCGTGCAGCATGGGTCACTCGTATATAATGGCAAATTATTAGCAGAGGAACCAAGAAAACACCCACATAGCTACAGGGGAGCAGGGCAAAGGCAGAAGCCATGCCACCAGGAGCTACAAAGGCTGGATAACAGGCCCTGATGCATGCAGTAAAGGTCACATTTAGATGCCGCCCTAGGCCTATGTGCACGACTAAAATGATCATGTGAAGCTTCCAAAACAGTGACGGAAACTAAAATCAGAGTTTCCAGAAATCTGCAAAACTGAAAGTGATAATTATCGATCGTTAGAATTACAAAGTGCTGTAGGAAAGAGATCCCAACTAGCTGAGAAAATCAAGGGAAGCTTGATGATGTTTACACTGCCTATTTTTAAAATGGGCAGTTTTTAGACATGCTGAGATTGAGCTGAGAGAGAGCACTGTAGGATCAGAGAACAGGAACAAGAGAGAAGAGAGGGGTGAAACCCTAAGAGAACAACCAGTAGTTAAGGTTTAGCAGAAGCATGGCAGCTGGAAGGACTGTAGAGGGTGACAGGGCACGTAGCTCCCTTGTGTTATTGGCTGGCTTTGGAGAAAGTGTGAGCACATTGAGTTCAGTCCCAAAAAGCTCCACAAGAGGCAGTGGAGGTGTCGGGGTTCCATTCTTTCTATACCAACACTACCCCTCTAAGAGTCTGGGAGCAAGTACATGTATTAGTTTGTTATTTACTGTATTAGTTTATTTTCCTGCTGCTATGAAGACATACCCAAGACTGGGTAATTTATAAAGGAAAGAGGTTTAATTGACACAGAGTTGTGCATGGCTAGGGAGGCCTCAGGAAATGTACAATGATGGCAGAAGGGGAAGGAAACATGTCCTTCTTCATATGGCACAGGAGAAGTGCTAAAAGAAGCAGGAAAAGCCCCTTATAAAATCATCAGATCTCATAATTCACTCACTGTCATGAGAACTGCATAGGGGAACCACCCCCATGATCTAATCACCTCCCACATGGTCCCTCCCCCAACACGTAGGGATTACAATCCAGGTTAAAATTCAAGATGAGATTTGGGTGGGGACACATAGCCAGACCATATGATTCCACTCCTGGCTCCTCCCAAATCTCATATTTCTCACGTTTCAAAACACAGTTATGCTTTCCCAACAGTTCCCCAAAGTTTAAACTGTTTCCAGCATTAACCCAAAGTCCAAGTCCACAGTCTTATCCAAGACAAGGCAAGTCCCTTCCTCCTATGAGCCTGTAAAACCAAAAGCAAGTTAATTACTTCCTAGATACCATGGGGATACAGGCATTGGGTAAGTACACCAGTTCCAATGGAAGAAGTTGGCCAAAACAAAGGGGTTACAGACCCCATGAAAGTCCAAAGTCCAACAGGGTAATCATTAAACTTTAAAGTTACAAAACGATCTCCTTTGACTCCATGTCTCACATGCAGGTCATGCTTATGCAAGAGATAGGCTTCCATGGCCTTGGGCTGCTCCACCCCTGTAGCTTTGCAGGGTACAGCTCCCTTCACCCCTTCCACTCCCTGCTTTCATGGGCTGGCACTGAGTGTCTGTTGCTTTTTCAGGTGCACAGTGCAAGCTGTAGGTGGATCTACCATTCTGGGGTCTGGAGTATGGTGGCCCTCTTCTCATAGCTCCACTAGACAGTGCCCCAATGGGGACTCTGTGTGGGGACTCCAACCCCATATTTCCCTTCCGCACTGCCCTAGCAGAGGTTCTCTGAGGGCTCCACCCCTGCAGCAGACTTCTACCTGGATATCCAGGCATTTCCATACATCCTCTGAAAGCAAGGTGGAGGTTCCCAAACCTCAATTCTTGACTTCCGTGTACCCAGAGGACAAATATCATGCAGAAGCTGTCAAGGCTTGGGACTTCCACCCTCTAAAACAAAGGCCCAAGCTGTACCTTGGTCTTTACCCATGGCTGGAGCTGAAGCAGCTGGGACACCTAGTGCCATGTCCTGAGACTGCACAGAGAAAGGGGGCCCTGAGGCTGACACACAAAACCATTTTTCCCTCCTAGGCCTCTGGGCCTATAATGAGAACGGCTGAGAAGGTCTCTGACATGCCTTGGAGACAAATTCCCCATTGTCTTGGTGATTAACATTTGATTCCTCATTACCTATGCAACTTTATGCAGAAGACTTGAATTTCTCTCCAGAAAATTGATTTTTCTTTTCTATCACAACATTAGGCTGCAAATTTTCCAAACTTTTATGCTCTGCTTCCCTTTTAAACATAAGTGCCAATTTCAGACAATCTCTCTCAAGTTCAAGTTCCACAGATCTCTAGGGCAGGGGAAAAATGCCATCAGTCTCCTTGCTAAAGCATAGCAAGAGTGACCTTTGCTCCAGTTCCCAAGAAGTTCCTCATCTGCATCTAAGACTACCTCAGCCTGGACTTCATTGTCCATATCACTATCAGAATTTTGGTCAGAACAATTCAGCTAGTCTCTAGGAAGTTCCAAACTTTTCCACATCTTCCAGTATTTTTCTGAGCCCTCACAACTGTTTCAACCTTTGTCTATTACCCAGTTCCAAAGTCACTTCCACATTTTCAGGTAACTTTATAGCAGCGCCCCACTACCCTGGTACCAATTTACTGTATTAGTTCATTTTCATGATACAATGAAGAAATACCCCAAACTGGGAAATTTATAAAGGAAAGAGGTTTAATTAACTCACAGTTCTGCATGGCTGGGGAGGCCTCAGGAAACTTACCATCATGGCAGAAGGGGAAGCAAACAAGTCCTTCTTCACATGATGGCATGTGAGAAAAGTGTAAAGTGAAGGAGAAATAGCCCCTTATAAAACCATCAGTCTCATGAGAACTCACCCACTATCATGAGAACAGCATGGGGGAACCGCCCTCATGATCCAATCACTTCCCACGTGGACCCTCACCCAACATGTGGGGATTATAATTTGGATTCCAATGCAAGATGAGATTTGGGTGGGGACACAGAGCCAGACCATATCAGTACCCTGCAACATTGCAGGATACTTGGACATTGGAAGGGATTTTTTTTCACATGGAGCAAATCAGATGATGAGTATTCCTGTAAGATAAACAAAGATAGATTACTAAGATGGGCTCCTTAAAAGCAGTGCTAATTACATTTTTGGCACTCATGGCTATATTTAGCTTTCAAATATAGTTCTTTCACAGGAGTCCACATTATGTCTAAGAGTCAGTCCTTTAAGAAATGATCATATAAAACTGAACAAGCATATAACTGTGATACAGGACTATGATAAAGGATACAAGGGCTTTGCTTATTATCAGAACCCATTGCCACTACCGATATGGTTTGTTTCCCACAGAACACTCCACTGATAATTCCTGAAAAAGTAGAAATGTTTACACATGGATAGAATATTTCAAAAGTGGATCATCCTGCTGGGACATTCCAAATCCATTAATCCAGCTAGACAACCACCAATCCATCCATCCAACTATGCATCCAGCCATTTACTCAATAATATGGTACCCATTACCATGAACTGTGCAGAGGTATACAAGTGGAAAAACAGACATTGTACCTGCTCTCTAAGGCTGACAACGTAGTGAGGAAAACAGAAACACAGTTGCAATTAAGTTGGTAAGTGCTTATTTAAAACCCTTCCGTAAAATAAATATCAGCTAAAGGAATATTCATCAAAATAAAAAAAGTCAAGGATTACACTAACATTTATGATAGAAAAGTTCAGAATCCAGGACCTGAATTTATATATTAAAGATGACTTCAACAATTCAAAACTTTAAATCAACTTCAATGTTAATATTTGAGCTAGTGTTGTCAAGAATTTCTCCACTAGCATTTCAACTTTGGTTTGGTCATTCTGCTAGTTCTTTTGTGCTATCACCATTGCAATAAATGGCCCCATTCACTCACTATGATTTTCATCTATACTTCTCTAAATGTTACTTCATTTCCTTGGTGTTACTACTGCATTCTTTTTTCAAATACTACATTCAGTATTTTAGTCCTTGCCTGGCCTTCCCAAAAGGAAGTTTCAGATTTAGTTACTTGGTGCAGGGATGTCTTTTTCACCAAAATATCCTAGTATGCCTCATTAGGTTATACACAATATAGGCACTGATACAGTCTGGCTCTGTATCCCTACCCAAATCTCATCTTAAATTGCAATCCAAATTGTTCCCCACTCTTGGGGGAGGGACCTCATGGGGGGTGATTAATCATGGGGGTAGTTTCCCCATGCTGTTC